>NC_000014.9:75369288-75520803 GCF_000001405.40 Homo sapiens
TCCCAAGTTGCTGGGATTACAGGTGTGCGCCACCATGCCCGGCTGATTTTTGTATTTTTAGTAGAGACAGGGTTTCACTATGTTGGCCAGGCTGGTCTCAAACTCCTGACCTTGTGATCTGCCTATGTCAGCCTCCCAAAGTGCTGGGATTAAAGGCATGAACCACCATGCTCAGCCTGCTAATCACCTCCCTAAAGGTTCTGCCTCTCTACATTGTTACAATGGCAATTACATTTTAACATGAGTTTTGGAAGGGACATTCAACCCCTAGCAAGCAGGACTTAAGTCATCCATATACTCTGGTAGACACAGAGATGCATGACACAGACCTCTCTTCACAAATGGGCTTGCTGCCCAGCAGCAGGGAGTGTAGTCAGCAGATGGCCATCAGCTGCTGGCTCTTTCAGGGTCTGCCTCAGCTGCACAGAGCCACCTTGCCCAAGGTCATGCTGTTCCTGGGGCAGCCCATATCCAGTGACTGAGCAAGGTGAGGGTATAAAGGCCAGGCTATTTTAGTTCAAACGTGGACACTTTAAGGGTCAATACTCACTTCAGTGCTCTGGGTAGGGTTGGTGAAGGTTTTGTTGGGTCTGCATCACAATTCAGCTTCTCCATCTGCCCAAACTTCCTCCTTCCCCTTCTTTTCACAGGTGTTGTCCTACCATATATTATGTGTGCCAAACTCTCAGTACCTGCTTCCAAGGAACCCAACCTGCAACAATCACCTTTGTCCCTCTTCAAGTTTTTCAGAACATATTAATTTGTATTGTGTCAAATTAACTAAGCAGGGACTACATTTCCCCAAATTACCTCCCCTGTGTGGTTCCAACTTAGGGTTAGCCATGAGGGAAGTTTGTGCAAATTTGGAAGGCAGAAGTGAAGCAACAGCCATTTTTACTGTCTGAAGGTTGGTGCAGGCCAGGTACTGTTGAAGTTAGCATGAGTGTCACCTTGCTGGCATGCTGTTTATGGCTCCTCCAGCTGTTCCCATTCTCCTCCTTCAGCTCCTCTGTGTCCTGGGCCAGATGTGTCTGTAGTTCCATGATGGGAACACCAGCTTATCCAGAAGATCACCCACACCCTGGAGAGTGAAGGCAGAAAGAGGCAGATGCAAATTTGTTTGTCCTTGTTGGTTTCAGGTCCTTGTTGGTTTCAGGTCCTTGTGGGTTTCAGGTTGTCCTTTCCCTTCCCCACTCCAATCTTTCTTCCCAGCTCCCAGTTCTGCTGACCTCAAGCCCAATACCAGACACAGAGGCAATACTCATGTAGAGTGTTTAGTCAGGTCCCATAACTGCATAAAGTCTAATCCTTACAATAGTTCCCTTTTTCTTGAATCCTCACTGATGCAGTCATTATTTCTAGTTCCTCTATCCATAGCTTTGTTTCATCAGCTCCAAGTAGTACTTGGCTCCTTACTCTGTATGGTAAGGTATTAGAATCACCTCCCTTGTCCTTTCCTCTCCTCCTCCTGTCTCATCTCTTCTATCAGCTATTGATTTTTACATTGTCAAGTGTGGTAACATTACATCCTGTCCCAAAACCATAGTGAGCTCTTCTCTTCATTGTCTATGGTCCATTCTAAAAGTTGAAAACTATCAAACGGCACTTCAAGTAGAGTATTTTGTGCGGATAAATGAGCACAATTTCTGGTAATGGGCTGTGATAATATTTCCTTCCCTACATATCAAGGGCAGATGCCTCTGTCACTCAAAGGATGATATTCTTAGCCACTGGATCAAACAGACTTTCTTGTTTTATGTGCCACCATTTGCTCAAATGCATCTTACCTCTTACATTGCTTTGTTTTTGGACTGTGACTTTCTTGTTTAATGGTTTGTTTTTCCCAGGGTTTTTGATTACTTTCTTTTTTTCTGCTTGGGTAAAGAAAACTAGGTCTTTGCCATCATGCCCCAATTATTGTTTAGCTTCTTACTCATTTCTTGTATTGCTTGAAATCCATTCTATTCTTCTGGAAGACATTCTTCTTGAGACTCACTGCCATTTTACTGAACACCAATTTATTCTGAGGCTCACTAAACAGTTGTCACCCTGTAATTTCTTTTCACTGGGATCTTGGGTTAATTCTACCATTTCATGTATTCTCACATTACCCTTTTGTTCCTTTGATGCTCACTCCAGTTTTGCTGGAGTGTGTTCTTGTTCAGCTTCTCCATGAGGCATGCGCAAGAGATAGCTATCGCATACTTACAAGAGGACTTACCAGCTGTGTGACTTGGGCAAGTTCCTAATCTCTTTACTCTTCAATTTCCTCCACTGAAAAATGGGAATTATGTCACCTGGCTCATGGAGTACTGTGAAAATTACATTTGATAACATTTGTAGAGTGCCTAGCCCTTGGTGTTGAGCAAATTTTGATTTATTTCCCTAATTAAGCCACTCTTCTGCTAAGAGATCTTAGAATGCTCCCATTGCAACCTGGGCAACATGGCAAAACCCCATCTCTACCAAAAATACAAAAATTAGCCAGGTGTGGTGGTGGGTGCCTGTAATCCCAGCTACTCGGGAGGCTGAGGCAGGAGAATCGCTTGAACGTGAGAGGTGAAGGTTGCAGTGAGCCAAGATCGTGCCACTGCATCCCAGCCTGGGCAACAGAGCAAGACCCAGTCTAAAATAATAATAATAATAATAATAATAATAATAATAATAATAATAATAATAATAAAATAAATAAAGAATGCTCCCATTGCCTATGGAATAAAGTTCAAATTCTTTGGCATGACCCAAAGCCCTCCATAATTGGATCCCACCTGACCTTTCCGGATTTGTTTCCTATTACTTCAGGTACCTTGTGCCCTGCCAAACTCTTCGCCCAGCACATCTGTATCTTCTGGTTGTCCAGGCCTTGATTCTCTCTGTTTCCCCTGCCTGGAAAGGCTTTCCCGTAATATGTGTGTATCCAAACTCTATTTCCCTTCTCACCTGCTCCCTCCATGGTACGCCCTTCTCTGATCTCCAGGTATGAGCACTTTCCATCTCTCCTCTGGCTTTTATCCTCTCTACTGAGTATTTCATTTGCTGCGGCCACAGACCTGGCCGCTTGCCTGTGGATGGACCAAACTCTTTCAATGCTTCTCTGCAGCTGGGGCGCCCACAGTGTTGAATGATTCTCTTTTTGCAGGCTGGGCTGAATCCAAGATGCCTTTAGGCAACGTTTCCAGAGGGCCAAAAAATTACTGCTTCCTTCCTGTCTTGCCTGTGCAGCTTTCCTCTCCCAGAAACAGCCCCCTACGCTTACCCCACACAGGGAAGTAAAGGAAAATTTACTTTTAGGGAAGTCACCTACTTGGTGAGCTCTTACAACCACTGGGAAAATGCTGTGCCATTGGGATTAAGTTAAAGGAACAAATTGCACATACCGCTGGGAGAAGTATCTCATTAAGTATGATTTTTTTTTCTTTCTGCCTCTCCTCCTCTTTATAACTTTTTTTTTTTCTTTTTTGAGACAGAGTCTCGCTCTGTCATCCAGGCTGGAAGGCTGGAGTGCAGTGGCACGATCTCTGCTCACTGCAACCTCTGCCTCCCCAGTTCAAGCAATTCTCCTGCCTCAGCCTCCGGAGTAGTTGGGACTACAGATGTGCACCACCATGCCCGGCTAATTTTTGCATTTTTAATAGAAATGGCATTTTGCTATGTTGTGGTCTTGAACTCCTGACCTCAGGTGATCAACCTGCCTTGGGCTCCCAAAGTGCTGGGATTACAGGCATGAGCCTCCACGCCCGGCCCATATAACTTATTTTTAACACTAGCATTCATTCACTTACTCACTCAGTGTTTATTCATTCTATCAGAGATTCTACAAACTTATTACATGACTCTGGGGTGCCAGGCACCGTGGAGGGCTTGGGGACACAGAGAGGAAAGGCATAATCCCTGCCCATGAGGAAATCACAACTAGTTTATATTGGCATACAGATCACTTTTCAACCATGAGGTCCTGCTGAGAGCAGGAGGCAGGAGCCTCTGAGGCTAGAAAGAGTGAGCAGCTGGGTGTGTAGGTGGGAATGGTATAGGAGGAGATTGAGATGGTCCTGGAAGTCTAGTTGAAGAGGGCCCGCGGAGCAGTGAGGTGTCTGAGACAGAATTTTCTCTGCCTCACAGTTTAGCCCTCAGGTATGATGGAGCCTGGTCAGCCACCAGGCTAGGCAGGAAGTTGGGGAGAGGGAAGAAGGGGAGATGATGCAGGCTCTGAATCCAAGGTTCTGCCCTATCACTCAAAGGACAATATTCTTAGACATATTCTCTCCTAACCCAGGTAATAACCTGGACAGCTCCTTGAATATTATGTGAGAGGGAATCACAGGAAAAGGAAAATCCCTTAGCTCACCCAGCTGCATTCCTAGCAATTTCTGTTCATTTTCAGGATGAGCATAGGAGTCATGGGAAAAGAAGGGTGGCCTGAGCTTGTGCTCATCCCAGGCCCCTGGCTCTTCAGAGCCAAGCTAGCCCCAGCTACCCAGACCTGGATGGATGCAGAGGGCTTCCAGCACTGGGGATGCAGTGCTTGGAGTCACGTGTTTCTGTGCAGCCATTGCTGCCTATTACAGACTGAGTTCCATCTGGTGGTCACATCCTGGACTGGCTGCCCAATGGCAGACAAAGCTCCTTTTGTAGCTAGTAGGATGAAGTGAAGGGGAGGCTGAGTTCTTAATGTGGCCAACCAACTTCCAGCCTCTATCAATAAGTTTCTCCCTGGACCTTTTCAAAATCAAGCATTGCCAATGTGACACTGTGGGGCTGAGGGGCTGTGGGTACTGCCTGAAGCCTGGCATTGCCCACAGACTAGGTTCTCTTTATCCCTGGCCAGATCCAGCGTTGGAGTGAACCAAGACAGGCTATAGGGTCTTGGGACCCCAACCTTCTAATTAGAATTTTGTGCTGTCTCCCCTATCCTGGAGGAAGGCTGTCCAGGGAGCCCACCCACCCCCACAAGTTTTTGCAATGGAAGGGTCATCAGAGATAGCCAGTCCAACCCTTTTATTTCACTGGAGTGGGAGTGGGGAGGAGGAAGGGGGAGGATATTGGCCCCTATTATCTACAGAGATAGTGGCTGCGCTGAGGCTAGACTCCAGACCTCCCCCTCCACATTCAGAGATCCTTTTCCTTACACCAGCCATGGCCTTTCTTTCTGGAAATGTGCAGCCTTCAATAAAAGGACAAAAGGAAGGCAGCAATTAGCTCCACAGAGCCAACTGATGATGGCGCAGCTTAAAACAAAGTGATCAGCCTGTAGGTCAGGGGCCATCCTGGTGTGATGGCTAATATTGAGTGTCAACTTGATTGGTTTGAAGGATGCAAAGTATTGTTCCCGGTGTGTCTGTGAGGGTGTTGCCAAAGGAGATTAACAGTTGAGTCAGTGGACTGGGAGAGGCAGACCCACCCTCAATCTGGGTGGGCACCATCTAATCAACTGCCAGCGTGGCTAGAATAAAGTAGGCAGAAGAAAAGAGCAGACTTGTGGAGTCTTCTGGCCTTCATCTTTCTCCCATGCTGGATACTTTCTGCCCTCAAATGTCTAAGTTCTTTAGCTTTTGGACTTTGGAACTTATACCAGTGGTTTTCCAGGAGCTCACGGGCTTGGGACTTGGACTAACTTTCTTGCTCTTCAGCTTACAGACGGCCTATTGTGGGTCTTATGATTATGTGAGTCAATACCCTTAATAAATCCCTCCTCATATATACATCTTTCCTATTAGTTCTGTCCCTCTGGAGAACCCTGACTAATACACCTGGTTCTGCCCACCTTCCACCACAGGCTTTGCTTGCATGTCATGTTTTCTTGCCCTGAGAGCCCCTTTCTCCTTAGCCAGGCACCTGATCAAGATCAGAATCTGGAAACTCTGCATATTTGTGGTATAGAAACCCTTGCTAAGAGCTAGCTCATGTAAGCCTCAGAACAATACTGGGAGATATTATTACCCCACTTTATAGATAAGGGAAATGCAGAGAGATAATGTTATTTGCCAAGGATCACAAAACCAGAAGGTGGTAGAGCTGTATCTCAAACGCATGTCTTCTGACTGTGAATCCTGTTCTTTTTCTTTTCTACCATGAAAAAAATGTGGAAAAATGCTTTGATAACTTTAAGGCCATACATGATATAACATACTAATTATTATCACCACTGCTTCTACCTCTAGCACTGCCATTGCCACAAACGCCATCACTATCACCATCACCATCACAACCATTACTACTACCATCACCATCACCACCACCACCATCAACACCTATACCATAACTACCATCTCCACCATCATCAGCACCATTATCATCACCATGCCACCACCACCACCACTGCCATTGCCAATGCCTGAGTGGAAGAGGAGTGGAGGAGCGAGGTGCCTGAGACAGAATTTTCTCCCCCAAATCCTCCATTATCACCATTGCTGCTAACACCATCAAAGCTAAAACTTGAGGCTGTTTCTATACCTGAAGCCTCAATGTGCTTATTAAAGTGCTAAGTGGCTAGAACAGATTCAGATAATCCAGGGTCTTGTTGCTCAAAGTGTGGTTCATGGACCAGTAGCACTGGCATCCCCTGGGAGCTCGTTAGAAAGGTAGAATCTTAGTCATTACCCCAGACCTACATAATTTCCATCTTAACAAGATACCCAAGTAGTTCACATGCATGTTGAAGTCTGAGAAGCGCCACTCTAGAGCAGGGCTTGGAAACCTACAGGACTCCTAGAGGAGACAGTGGTAAGCTAGAGCCTCCTCTAGTGTGGCTTGTTCGCCCTGGCTGCCAATCCCCTCTCCTAGTCCTGTAGTAGAAGACAAAGAGCAGCCCCAAGGAATGTTGCTTTGGTGTGCTCCAGATAGTGACTTTCAGGGCCTTTGGATAGATTAGGACTCAGAGGCCCACACAAAGAGAAACCGCCATGGGGCCCATGTCTCGACAGCTAGAAAGTGAGATGAGAAGTGTTCTGAGTCACAGGTTAGGATGATGTTTGATATGGTTTGGATGTGTGTTCCCTCCAAATCTCATGTTGAAATATAACCTCTAATGTTGGAGGTGGGCCTGGTGGAGGTGTTTGGGTCATGGGCATGGACCCCTTATGAATGGCTTGGGACCACCCCCATGATACTGGTACTGCATGTGAAAGCTGGTTGTTTGAAAGAGCCTGGCAACTTCTCCCTCTCTCTCTTGCACTCCCTCTCGTCATGTGATATGCCCCCTCCCTCTTCACCTTCCACCATGATTGTAAGCTTCCTGAGGTCTCATGAGAAGCCAAGCAAATGCTGGCACTGTGCCTGTATAGCCTGCAGAACTGTGAGCCAATTAAAACTCTTTTCTTTCTTTTCTTTTCTTTCTGTCTTTTTTTCTTTCTTTCTTCCTTTCTTTCTTTCTTCTTTCTCTCTTTCTTTCTTTCTTTCTTCTTTCTCTCTTTCTTTCTCTCTCTCTCTCTTCCTTCCTTCCTTCCTTTCCTTCTTTCTTTCGTTTGAGACAGAGTCTCACTCTGTCACCCAGGCTGGAGTGCAATGGCGAGATCTCGGCTCACTGCAACCTCCACCTCCCAGGTTCAAACAATTCTCGTGCCTCCACTTCCCAAGTAGCTGGGATTACAGGTGCATGCCACCATCCCTAGCTAATTTTTGTATTTTTAGTAGAGATGAGGTTTTACCATGTTGGTCAGGCTGGTCTTGAACTTCTGACCTCGGGTGATCCGCCTGCCTTGGCCTCCCAAAGAGCTGGGATTACAGGTGTGAGCCACTGCGCCTGGCCTCTTTTCTTTATGAATTACCCAGCCTCAGGTACTTCTTTATGGCAATGCCAACAGACTAACACAATATTTTTGCTTTTCACCAGTGTCGTAAGTCTACACTATTCCTCCTGGATCTCAAATTTGAAAAGGAGTCAAATGAAACTCCCCACCTCTGTTATCTCTTCCACACGTGCCTGAGTGCAACTACAAAGATGGTGCAAGGACTGCTTGGGTGGGAACAAAAACTATAGAACTCATTTTTAATGCAGTTGTAGTTACAAACAAAAACCTGTTGGAAAGTGAAAACTGTCTTATATCACTGCCAATATTCTGTTGCTAAGACACTAAAGGATAGCTTTGCATGGACTAAGTTGATAAATCATTTCAGGGTCTTATGTGCATCGGGAAAGCAATACAGCCAAGTGATTTAGAAGATAGTCAATGGAACCAGATATAGACCCAGATTCAAATATTAGCTCTGCCATGAGGTATTGGCTTTGTGACCTGGGGAAAGTTACCAAATTGTGTACCAGTTTCCTCATCTGTAAAATGGGGACAATATTAGGGATATTAGGAGGATTAAATGAATTAATACATGTGAAGTACCTAGAAGAGTGTCTGTCACATGGTAAGAACTCAATATGTGTTATCTGTTTATTATTATTAGAACAATAAGTGAACACAATAAGCACTTGCCAAGTGTGTTTGGGTGAGGCATCGTACATATCAGGATCTTGGGAGATGGAAGAGTTAAGAGGAATAAGACATGGGCCCTGCTCTTAAGGTCCTTTAGTCTAGAAGAGAGAAAATATTGCTATGGTTTGAATGTGTCCCCCAGAGTTTATGTGTTGGAAACTTAATCCCCAATGCAACAGTGTCGAGAGGTGGGACTTTTAAGAGGTGATTAGGTCATGAGGACTTTGCCTTCATGAATGTGTTAATACTGATCATAAAAGGGCTTGAGACTGTGAATTCAATCTCTTGCTCTCTCTCGCCCCTTTTTTCGCCCTTCTGCCATGGGATGATGCAGTGAGAAGGCCCTCACCAGATACCAGCCCTCAGCCTCAGGAACAATGAGCCAGTAAGTTCCTCTTTACTATAAATTACCCAGTCTCAGGTATAGCCATACAAAATATATTAAGACAGAAAACTGGTACTGAGAAGCAGGGTGTTGCTATAACAAATACCTAAAAATATAGAAGCAGCTTTAGAAGTGCGTAATGAGTAGAGGCTGAAATAATTGGAAGGAATGGTCTAGAAAAAGCCTAGATTGCCACGAACGGAGCTTTAAGGGTGATTCTCATGAGGGCTCAGAAGAGGAGAGCTGCAGGGAGAGCCTAAATATCCTTAGGGATTTTACTTAAGTGGTTGTGATCAGAATGTTGCTAGAAGTATGGACAATAAAGGCCATCCTGATGGGGTCTCTGATGGAAATGAGGGACAAGGTGTTGGAAACTGGAATAAAGGCCATTCTTGTTATACAGTTGAAAAAAAAAAACCAAACTTGGCTGAATTGTGTCAGTGTCCTAGGACTTTGAGGAAGGCAGAAATTAAGAGCAATGAACTAGGATACCCGGCAGAAGAAATACCCAAGCAGCAAAGTGTCCAGGGTGTTGCAGGGCTTCTTTTGGCTGCTTACAATAAAACGAGAGAAGGGAGAAATGATTTAGACAGAATGCATAATTAAAAGGGCAACAGAATGGAAAGATTTGGGAAACTGTCAAGCTGGCCAGGTAAAGAATTAAAAAGTGTGTCTGGGAGAGAATATGAAGGATATGGCCAAGCAAGCATTTTCTAAAGAGATTAATATGGGTAGAGGGAAGCCAGGTTCTATTTATCGAGACAGTGGGAGAATGACCCTGAAGGCATTTCAGAGCAGTGGTTGAGCCACATATGGGGCTTCTTCTAAAGCTGCTTCTATATTTTTAGGTATTTGTTATAGCAACACCCTGCTTCTCAGTACCAGTTTTCTGTCTTAATATATTTTGTGTGGCTATACCCGAGACTGGGAAATTTATAATAAAGAAGAACTCATTGGCTCATTGTTCCTGAGGCTGAGAAGTCCAAGACTGAGGGGCTGGTATCTGGTGAGGGCCTTCTCACTGCATCATCCCATGGCAGAATGGTGAAGAAGTGGTGAGAGAGAGCAAGGTACAACCTTGAGGGCAAGTTTTCCAAAGCATTTGCTACCCTGTACCACCTTGAGTCTCTGCTTCCCATACTCTGGTGCAGTGCTCAGCTGCTCCAGCTGTGAATCAAGTGGTGGCCCCAGATGTGGCTCAACCACTGCTCTGAAACATACAAACTGTAAACCTTGGTGGCAGCTGATTCTGCAGGTGTGCAGAATGCAAGAGCTATGGGCCCATAGCAGTCTCCATCTAGACTTCAAAGGATGTTTTAGACAGTATGAGGGCCCAGGCAGGGACTCAGTGCAGGGCGGAGCCACTGCAGAGCCCCCGCTAGGGCAATGCTCAGTGAATCCTTAGGAGCAAGGCTGCTGGGGACCTCAGGGCAATGCTCAGTGGAACTGCAGAGTGGGCAGCCCTGAGATCCCAGAACTCTAGGGCCACTGGCATACAGCTCCAGCCCGCAGGACTCTGCCCTCACTAATGGATTAACACAGTTATCTTTGAGAATGGGTTAGTTATTTCAGGAATGGGTTTCTGATAAAAGGATGAGTTTCTCCCACTTCTTTCTCTCCCTCTCCCTCTCTCTCTCATGCATATGTGCTCTTTTGCCCTTCTGCCTTCTGCCATTAGGTGATGCTTCATGAAGCTCCTTTGTGTAGTGCCGGACCCCTGTTGATTCCAATAGGGATGGCACTTTGTCTGAGAGGAAAAAAAAAAAAAAAAGTCCTGGAGCCAGCAAATGAGGGTTTACTGGGGGGACTTACATATGGGGCAGTCCAGTGGTGGCAGGCTGGATGGGAAGGCTGCTACAGTTTGTAGAAAGAATGCAGTTTATATGGCATTTTCACTTATCAACCTCCACCTAGCAACCTCCATCTGACCCAAAGCACAGGGCCTCAATCCCCTGTATGGCCTGTGTTCCAAGGGATGGGCCAGAGGCTCAGATGTCCTCCTCAGATAAGGAGCAAATCTCTGCATTGGCCACTCCTGGATTCTTCAGCTCAGAACTCTGAACACACATTCTTCTCAGACCACAGGTTGTCTTCAGGTTATGCTTAAGTGACATTATTGCTCTCAGGTGCGCCCACCATACACCTTACCAGATGTAGGCCCCTTGATCTTGGACTTCTCAGACTCCAGAACTGTAAAATATAAGGCTATGTTTCTTATAAATTACCTAGTCTGTGGTATTCTGTTATAGCAGCACACGACAGGTTAGGACAAATTGTGACAGGCCAAAAGTGAGGAATGCCACAGAAGTGAGACCCATAAAGAACCTGAGTTTTGAGAAAGGGGGTTGGATTCCAGAAGGCGAAGAGCAGAAATCAAGATAGAACCTGAATATTCTGAGATCTCAGAGAAGGGAATATTATCTTGAGTAATTTGAGACAGTTGGAAAGTAAAGAGTTTTTTTTAGGTTAGAGGCCTGGTGCGTGTGTGTGTGTGTGCGTGCGCGTGCACCCACTCACAAAAAGAAAGACCAACTTTTTTAAGAGAAGAGAGAAAGAAGCTTTTTCAGCACCCCCTACAACCTCATTCCACTAGGCAGCTTCATTTATTCATTAGCACATGAGTATGGCACCTTTATTTCAGCCATCCCAGCTTTCAGGGTAGCTGGGGGTATTCTGAGAGTCCAGCTTTTCTTGCTAGAGACAGAAGGAGCCAAGTGGAGATTTCCAGGTCACAGCAGAGCTGAATGCCTCTCCCTTTGGGAATGTACTGTGGCCCTGACCTCATGACACTGGAAGGAATCTGGCCCAGAGTCCATTTACATGGAGGCCGATTTATCTATAAATTTCTAAAGTGTAGCTGTTTTCTTAATAACTGAGAAAAGAAAAGACGACTACAGCCTGATTTAGAATATTTTTACTCAGCTATTTTGAGCCTGTGTGGTAAAACTTCAGCTTTTTGGAACTCCAAAAGGATGAGTTGTGCCAAAGGATTAAAAGGTTTAATCCTTGGGTGCTCAAACTTAAAGTTAAATCATTTTGATGAGCTTTAGAAAATGTATACATACTTCTTTGCTTTGTTTAGTAAAGTATTTGGAACGTGATTTAGCCTTTTCTTGATGAGTTAGGGTGCCTACTATAGTATTCTGTTGCCCTTATAATCTTGTATATAGGATGCCTTGACCTCACACTAAGTGGGTTCAGATGGCTGTGTATTTTGAATTTTGTATAATTTTACTGAAACATAAAAGAAAACAATAGACTTCTGGATTCAGCTCTAGCATGTAAAGAACTTGGACATTGTCATTTCTGTCCTTATAACAAGAAAAAAAACGGACAATGGAAAATCAGTGACTTTTCTTGGACCCATCAAAGAATTGAGGTTTCAGGACAAATCACTACCTTGAAATATGGAGAGACAGACAAATACAGAAAAACACAGCTCAGATGAGCTTATCCGGAGCAGAAGCTGCTGGAGCCATAAATTGGTAGGAACGCTTAAATGCTAATTTGATGAATCGCTGGAGGTTGAGCGTGGACCACCAGGAGAGTGAAAAAGTCTAGGAGGGCCACAACCTTAGGTACCACCCACACTCTTGAGGGTTTTACCTCCAGGAACTCTGTAAGTTCTCACAATGAGAGCCAAGAAAGAGTTCCCTGTGGCTCTAGCAGGGGTAGAGGAAAAGCAACCATTTAAAAATCTACCCAGAATGTTCTCTATAACAAAGACCTACTCTTCAGGGGAGGAAACTTTCCCAGAGCCTTAGCCCCCCTGGGGGAAGGGTAGTTACCCAACTCCAGCTCCCTTTAGTCTTCCTGTCTCACCTAAAGGGATGAGGGAAGCTAAGAAACAGTTGTAAAGACCCCAGCCCAGGACAAAGGCCCACAAAAAGACTGAGATTAAATCCTATGATTATATAACATTTTCCCTCCTCACATTATACCACCACATCAACAAGGCTCCAGTATAATAACAGCAGATTACAGCTCAAAGAGCCACAAGGAGCAGCCTCTATTAAAGGAGGAGCTCTTAGGGAAGCCCAAAGACAATGGAGGAGACAAAAACAAGGACACCAGATACATTTGAAGCCTCTGGCACCTACATCTGAAGGGCAAAACATTAAACACACCCAGCTCTTAGCCAGATTAACATTAAGATTTATGCTAAATAATTTTTTTTTTTTTTTTGAGGCAGTGTTGCTCTGTCACCCAGGCTGGAGTGCAGTGGTGCCATCTCGGCTCACTGCGACCTCCGCCTCCTGGATTCAAGTGATTCTCCTGCCTCAGCCTCCCTAGTAGCTGGGACTACAGGCGCCTGCCACTATGCCTGGCTAATTTTTGTATTTTTAGTAGAGACAGGGTTTCACCATGTTGGCCAGGCTGGTCTCAAACTCCTGACCTCAAGTGATCTGCCTGTCTCGGCCTCCTAAAGTGTTAGGATCACAGGTGTGAGCCACCGCGCCCAGCGTATATATATTATACATGTTATATATATATAATACAATATATATATTTAGAGTCAGGGTCACACTCTGTCACCCAGGCTGCAGTGCAGTGGCATGATCATAGCTCACTGTAAATTTGGACTCCTGGCCTCAAGTGATCCTCCTGCCTCAGCCTCCCAAAGTGCTGGGATTACAGGTGTGTGCCACCACACCCAGCCATACTAAACACTTTTTAACTCAGTTGCTATTACCCTATACATCATGGCCAGCTTTTGGTTTTTTAAATTTTTTAATTTTTATAGGTACATAGTAGGTGAATATATGTGTAGAACACATATGATGTTTTGATACAGGCATACGATGTGTAATAACCACCTCAGGATAATTGGAGTATGCATCACCTCAAGCATTTATAATTTCTTTGTGTTAGGAACATTCCAATTCTACTCCTTTAGTTATTCTAACATACATAATTATTGTTGAGTACAGTCACCCTGTTGTGCTATCAAATATTAGATCTTATTCATTCTATTTCACTTTTTTTTTTTTTTGAGACAGAGTCTCACTCTGTCACCCAGGCTGGAGCGCAGTGGCAGGATCTCGGCTCACTGCAAGCTCCGCCTCCCAGGTTCACGCCATTCTTCTGCCTTGGCCTCCCAAGTAGCTGGGACTATGGGCGCCCGCCACCATGCCCGGCTAATTTTTTGTATTTTTAGTAGAGACGAGGTTTCACCTGTTAGCCAAGATGGTCTCGATCTCCTGACCTTGTGATCCGCCCGCCTCAGCCTCCCAAAGTGCTAGGATTACAGGCGTGAGCCACTGCGCCTGGCCTTAACTATGCTTTTGCACCAATTAACCATCCTCACTTCCCCTACTCCCTGCTTCTGCTTTTCCCATCCTCTGGTAACCATCATTCTACCCTATTTTCATGAGTTCGATTGTTTCCATTTTTAGCTCCCACATGTGAATGAGAACATGTGAAACTTGTCTTTCTGTACCTGACTTATTTCACTTAATGGAATGTCTTCCAGTTCCATCTGCATTGTTGGAGACGGCAGGATTTCATTCTTTTTTATGGCTGAATAATGTTTCATTGTGTATATGCACCACATTTTCTTTATCCATCTGTTGATGGAGACTTAGGTTGATTCCAAATCTTGGCACTGTGAATAGTGCTGCAATAAACATGGGAGTGCAGATACCTCTTTGATATACTGATTTACTTTCTTTTGGGTATATACCCAAAAGTATATTGGGGATTGCTGGATCACATGGTAGCTCTATTTTTAGTTTTTTGAGGAACCTTCATACTGTTCCCCATAGTGGCTATGCTAATTTACATTCTCACCAACAGCGTGTGAGGGTTCCCCTTTCTCCACATCCTTGTCAGCTTTCATTATTGTCTGTCTTTTGGATAGAAGCTGTTCTAACTGGGGTGAGATGATATCTCACTGTGGTTTTGATTTGCATTTCTTGATGATTAATGATGTTGAGCATTTTTTTATATACTTGGCCATTTGTATGTCTTATTTTGAGGAATGTCTATTCAGATCTTTTGCTTATTCTTAAATCACATTATTAGATTTCTTTCTTATTGAGTTGCTTGAGCTGTTTCTATATTTTCTCCGAAATACTGTAAATATTTTCTCCCATTCTGTGCATTGTCTCTTCACTTTGTTGACTGTTTCTTTTGCTGTGCAGAAGCTTTTTAATTTGATGTGATCCCATTTGTCCATTTTTGCTTTGGTTGCCTTTGTGGCAGGCTTTCAACAAAAAATTATAAGGCATGCTAAAGGTAATAAAAGTACAGTCTGAAAAGACAAAGTAAGCAGCAGAAACAGATTCAGATATGACACAGATTTTGGATTTATCATACAGGGGATTTAAAATAGCTAATATGTTAGGAACTCTACTGGAAAAAGCATACGACATGGTAGAGCAGATGGTAATGTAAGCAGAGAGCTGAAAACTCTAAGAAAGAATTAAAAGGAAAAGCTAGAAATCAGAAACACTGCAACAGAAATGAAGAATGCCTTTGATGGGCTCATTAGTAGAATGAATTGGCTAAGGGAAGAATCAGTGAGCTTAAAGATATGTCAATAGAAATTTCTCAAACTGAAATGTGAAGAGGAAAAAAAGAGAAACAAACAAAACAAAACAGAAACCCCAGAACTGTGGGATAACTTCAAGAGATATAACATACACATAATTGGAATGCCAGAAATTAAAGGAGATTACACAGCAAAAGAAATATTTGAAATAATAATGGTCAAGAACTGTCCAAATTAGTGACAGACACCAAACCTCAGATCCAGGGAGTTGAGAGAACATCAAGCAGGATAAATATCAAAAATATCTACACTTAGGAAAATTGTATTCAAATTTCAGAAAACCAAAGACAAAGAGAAAAATCCTAAAAGAACCTGGAGGGGAAAGCCCCTTTACCTATAGACAAACAAGGATAATACCTACAGAGAATCTTTTGTCAAAAACCATGCAAGCAAGAGGAGAGTGTAGTAAAATATTAAAATGTTGGAGAAAGAACCCCTACCAACCTAGAATTCTATATCCAGTGAAATTATCCTTCAAAAATAAAGAAGAAATAAAGACTTTTCAAACAAAAACAAGATATCATTGCCAGCAGATTTGCCCTGAAAGAAATTTTAAAAAAATAATCCAGGGAGAAGGTTAGTGATATAAGATCAGATCCACATAAAGAAGGAAAGAGCACTGGAGAAGAAATTAATGGAGGTAAAACAAAAGTTTATTTTTTTGCCGGGTGTGGTAGCTCACGCCTGTAATCCCAGCACTTTGGGAGGCTGAGGTGGGTGGATCACAAGGTCAGGAGTTCGAGACCAGCCTGACCAACGTGGTGAAACCCCATCTCTACTAAAAATACAAAAATTAGCCGGGTGTGGTGGCATGCACCTGTAATCCCAGCTACTCAGGAGGCTGAGGCAGGAGAATCGCTTGAACCCAGGAGGCAGAGGTTGCAGTGAGCTGAGATTGTGCCACTGTACTCCAGCCTGGGCGACAGAGTGAGATTCCATCTCAAAAAAAAAATTATTTTTATTCTTAATTGATCTAAAAGATAACTGTTTAAAGCAAAATAATAAGTTATTGGGTAAATTATAGAATATGAATAAGTGAAATGAATGACAGCAATGTTATAAGGGAGAAGAGGAGGAATTGGAAATTCTGTTATAAGGTACCTACAATACATGTGAATTAGTATAGTTTTATTTGAAGTGACTTAAATTAGTTGTAATTGTATATTGCAAATTCTAGGCTAACTACTAAAAGAAATTTTAAAGGAAATATAATTGATATGCTAACAGATAAAATGAAATCATATAAAATGCTCAATTAAATAATGCTCAGAGAAGGCAAGAAAAACAGGGAAGAAGAAAAAGAAGCAAAGAATAAGTACAATGAATAGAAAACAGTTACAAACATGATAGATTTAACCCAACTATATCAATAATCACTTTAAATGTGACTGGTCTAAGTATACAAATTAAAAGACAGAGATTATCAGAGTGGCTAAATAACACAACAAGACACAGCTATATTTTGCTTATAAGAAACCCATCTTAAATATCATGATTCAGATAAGTTAAAAGTAAATGAGTGGAGAAAGACACACCATGGTAACACTAAGAAAACAAAGCTGGAGTAGTTCCATTAACTTCAGACAAAGCTGACTTTGGAAAATGAAAATTCTCAGGACTAAACAGAGGAATCACACATTGATAAACGGGCCAATTGTCCAAAAGGACATAACAATCCATAATGTGTATGCACCTAACAACAGAGCATCAAAATGTGTGATGCAAAAATTTACAGAACTGGATGGGCGCAATGGTTCACGCTTGTAATCCCAGCACTTTGGGAGGCTGACAGGGATGGATCACCTGAGGTCAGGAGTTGGAGACTAGCCTGGCCAACATGGTGAAACCCCATCTCTACTAAAAATACACAAATTAGCGGGGGTTGTGGTGGGTGCCTGTAATCCCAGCTACTCAGGAGGCTGAGGCAGGAGAATCGCTTGAACCCAGGTGGTGGAGGTGGAAGTGAACTGAGAGCATGCCACTGCACTCCAGCCTGGGCAACAAATAAAACTCCATCTTAAAAAAAAAAATTGACAGAGCTGATGGGAGAGTTAGGCAAGTGCACTACTATAATTGGAGACTTCAACACCTCTCTTTCAGTCATTGATAAATCAAGCAGGGAGAAAATCAGTAAGGATATAGTTGACCTGATCAGAATTACCAATCAACTTGATTTCATTGACATTTATAGAATATTCAAAGCAGCAAGAGCAGAGTATACATTCTTCCCAAACTCACATGGAACATTCACCAAGACAGACCACATTCTGAGCCATAAAACACACCTTAACACACTTAAGAGAATAGAAATCATACAACGTATGTTCTCAGACCACAATGGAATTAAACTAAAAATCAGTAACAGAAAGGTGGCTGGAAAATCCAAAAATATTTAGAGATTTAACAACATACATTTAAAGAACACAAGGGCCAAAAAAGTCTCAAGAGAAATTTTAAAATATTTGAATTAAATGAAAATGAAAATACAACTTATCAATGTATGTGGGATGCAGTGAAAGTAGAAATTTGAGGGCAATCTATAGCATTGAATGCATATATTAGAAAAGAAGAAATATCTAAAATCAACAATCTAAGCTTTCACCTTGGAAACTGGAATAAGAACACTAATTTAAGTTCGAAGCAAGCAGCAGAAAATAATAATAAAAATTATAGAAGAAACCAATAAATTTGAAAACAGGAGAACAGTAGAGAAAATCAACAAAACCAAAAACTAGTACCTTGAAAAGATCAATGAAATTGATAAACCTCTACACATGCTAATCAAGAAAAAAAGAGAGAAGACACAAATTATCAATATCAGAGATGAAGGAGAGGCTATCACTACTGATCACAGGGACACTAAAAGGATAATAAAAGAATACTATGAACAACTTTATACCCACAAATTTGATAACTATGATGAATGGATCAGTTCCTCAAAAGGCACAAACTACTAAAACTCACACAAGGAGAAAGAGATAGTTTGAATAGTTCTACATCTATCAAAGAAATTGAATCAATAATTCATAGTATTCCACGAAAGAAAGCACGAGGCCCAGATGATTTCACTGGTGAGTTTTACCAGACATTTAAGGAACATTTCTTTCAGAAAATAGAAGCACAAAGAACATTTCCTAACTCATTCTGTGAGGCCAGCATTACTCTAAAACCAAAATCAGAAAACACATTACAAGAAAGGAAAAGTAAAGACTATTATTTTTCATGTACATAAATTCAAGAATCCTCAACAAAATATTAACAAATCAAATCAAATAATGTATACAAATAATTATAGAGCATGACCAAGTGGGATTTATTCCAGGAATGCAAGACTGTTTCAACATTTAAAAATCAATCAATGTAATTCACATCAACAAGATAAAGAAGAAAATCATATAATTACATCAATTGATTCAAAAAAAGCGTTTGATAAAATCCATCACCATTCATTATAAAAACTCTCAACAACTTAGGAATAGCGGATTCTTCCTCAACTTAATAAAGAACATCTACAAAAGGCCTACAACTAGCATCATACTTAACAGTGAGAAACTGGATGCTTTCTTCCTATGACTGGAACAAGGCAAGTATGTCCCCTATCACCCCTCTTATTGAGCACTGTACAGGGAATCCTAGCTAGTATTATAATTAAAAAACAAAAGAAAATGAGATAAAATATATGCAGGTTGGGAAGGAAGAACTAAAACTGTCTTTGTTCATAGTTGACTTGATTGTGTAGAAAAAATGCAAAGAATTGACAAAAACAATAGCAAAAGCAAAACAAAAGAAAACAAAACCAAAAAATAAACCCATGAGAAACTTGGAATTATTTAGCAATTATAGCAAGGTTGCAGTCTACAAGGTCAATATATTACTTGTAGTGGTAAAAACTGCAATTACTTTTGCACCAACCTAATACAAATGCCAACTGTTTTTCTGTATACCAGCAATGAACAGTTGAAAATTTAAAAATATATCATTTACAATAGCATAGAAAAAATGAAACACTTGGGTATAAGTCTAATAAAATATGTACAGAATCAATATGTGGAAACTGTGAAACAAATAAATCAAAGAAGATCTAAAAAAATGGAGAGCTATTCTATGTTCATGGATCACAAGACTCAATATTGTTAAAATGTCAATTATTCTAACTTGATTGCTAGATTTGACATAATCCCAGGGAGCTATTTTGTAGATATCAACAAATTGATTCTAAAATGTACATGTAAAGGCAAAAGACCCACCCAAATCCCTGGCAACCACTTTGTTATTCTTCTTCAGTATTGCATTGGCTAATACTCACAATATCTGATTTCAAGATTTACTATAAAGCTATAGTAATCAGGGCTATGGTATCAATGAAAGAATAGACACATAGATCAATGGGATAGAATAAAAAGCTCTATTAGAAAACAATCACACAAATATAGTCAAATTGTCTTTGAAAAAGGAGCAAAGACAATGCAGTGGAGAATGGATAGTCTTTTCAACAAACAGCACTGGAACAATTGGATGTCCATAGGCAAAAAATGAATCCGGATACAGAATATACACCTTTTGCAAAAATTAGCTCAAAATGGATCACAGACCTAAATATGAAATGGAAAACTATAACACTTCTAAAGAGCTATTCTATGTTCATGGATTAGAAGAAGAAAACAGAAGAAAATCTAGGTGATGTTGGGTTTGGCAATAAAAGAAAAAAGCAGAAAATTAATAAAAGGGCTAAAGACATGCGTAGACATTTCACCAAAGAAGATATACAAATGGCAAATAAGCATATGAAAAGATGTGTAACATTATTTATCATTAGGGAATTGCAAATTAAAATAGCAATGGGATATGACTACATAGTTATGTGATAACTTATTAGAATGGCAAAAAACAAAACCTCAAAACAAAACAAAACAAAACAAAACAAAACAAAAACCTGACAATACCAAATGCTGGCAAAGATGTGGAGCAACAGGAGCTCTCATTCACTGCTGGTGGAAATGGCAAAGTGGTACAGCTACTTTGGGAGACAGTTTAACAGCTTCTTACGAAGCTAAACATAGTATTACCATATGATCCAGTAGCTGCACACACAGGTATTTACCTGAATGAACTGAAAACATATGTCCATACAAAAGCCTGCATGTGAATGTTTATAGCAGCTTTATTCATAGTCACTAAATATTGGAAGCAACCAAGATGTCCTTCAGTGGTGAATGGATAAACAAACTGTGACACATCAATACAATGGAATGTGATCCAGCGATAAAAAGAAGTGAACTATCAAGTAATGAAAAGACATGAAGGAACCTTATGTGCACATTGCTAAGTGGAAAAAGCTGGTGTGGAAAGGCTACATAATGTATTATTCCAATCGTATGACATTCTGGAAAAGGCAAAACTATAGAGACAGTAAAAAGATCAGTGGTTGCCAGGGATTTGGATAGAGGGGAGAGGGTTGGATCGGTGAAGTACAGGTGATTTTTTTAGGGTGGTGGAATCATGCTGTATGATACTGTATTGGTGGATACATGACATTATGCATTTGTCAAACCCCATAGAACTTTACAGCATGAAGAGTGAACATTAATGTGTGCAAACTTTAAAAAAATCATGTAGGAGGCCAGACATCATCATTCATCATCTGCAGCATGAAATGCAGATTGTGACAAAGGAATCTAACTATATTATGAATTCATGAAACACCTAAGTGAAGGGAATGGGAGAAAAAGGTGCTGACCTAAGTAATTTAGGAAATTAGTGGACTTAAGTGAGACTAAAAGCAAAGGGAACTGCACGTAAGTACCGTGCTATAGCTGAGAAAGTTGTTTATAAAGGAGGCACGTGTTTACAATTCTGACACTACTATACAAATATACATGAATTGAACAATTAAGTAAATTGATGGCAGATGATGGAAGCCAGGTTTCTCACTGTTGGAATGCAAGTTTGCCGATAAGCCAGGGATGAGGCTAGAACGATCCATGTGGTAATAGATTAGAGTTGAAGAACCTAAACCATTCACATAGATGCAGATTGTTACATATAGAAATATTTATTGGCCGGGCATGGTGGCTCATGCCTGTAACTACAGCTCTCACACCTAAACCGTTCATAGATGCAGACTGTTACATATAGAAATACTTACTGGCCAGCCATGGTGGCTCATGCCTGTAATCCCAGCACTCACACCTAAACTGTTCATATAGATGCAGATTGTTACCTATAGAAATACTTATTGGCTGAGCATGGAGGCTCATGCCTGTAATCCCAGCACTCATGCCTAAACCGTTCATATAGATGCAGATTGTTACATATAGAAATACTTATTGGCTGAGCATGGAGGCTCATGCCTGTAATCCCAGCACTCATGCCTAAACCGTTCATATAGATGCAGATTGTTACATGTAGAAATATTTATTGGCTGGGCATGGTGGCTCATGCCTGTAATCCCAGTACTCATGCCTAAACCGTTCATACAGATGCAGATTGTTACATATAGAAATATTTATAGGCCAGACATGGTGGCTCACACCTGTAATCCCAGTACTTTGGGAGGCTGAAGTGGGGTGGGTGGATAGCTTTAGCCCAGGAGTTTGAGATCAGCCTGGGCAACATGGTGAAACCTCGTCTCTACTAAAAAAAAAAAAAATTAGACGGGTGTGGTAGCATGCGTCTGTAGTCCCAGCTACTTGGGAAGCTGAGGTGGGAGGATCACCTGAGCCCAGGAGGTCAAGGCTGCAGTGAGCCATGATTGTGCTACTGCACTCCAGTGTGGGTAACGGGAGTAAGACCCTGTCTCAAAAAAAAGAAAAATATTTATAGATTTCTGTTTGTCCACAGATTAGTATGCACACATGTATTTCCTTGCTTTGCCAGCTGAGAGGCCCTAGAAGCAATGACACCCCAGTAGCAATGATTATACCTAGTACCCAGATCTTAGTTTCTAACTATTATCTAATAAAAAGAATCAGGATCCCTTTAAGAAATGGCTGCTTCTAGGACCAGGGCAGAAAATACATGCAGTGAGCCTGAATGATTTTGTAGTGCCAAAAAGTAAGAAAGTACTTTAAGAAAACCCTCCATATTCGGGAAGTTTGTCAAAGATCACAGAAACCAACGAAAAGAGTTCCCAACGACCAAAACGGGAACAATTTGAACAACAAAATAAACACACTAGTATTGGATTATAACCCAAAGTATAAAATAAATATCCAGGAGTCCATACTGATATAAGTAGATAATTAAGTCAATAAATACAGAAGAGAGAAATCTCCCATGCAGAAGAATTGCAAATAACTTATGCAGAATCTCTGTCCTCAAGGAGGTGGAGCAAAACTCCCCATTGTTTAAGTGTGGGCTGAGCATAGTGACTTTCCTCCGAAGAGTACAGTCTGGACAGAGGCAGCCTGGGGAGACGAGACAATTAAATGTGATATGGCATCCAGGTTGGGAGCCCAGAACCGAAAAGAGATATTGGGCAAAAACTAAGGAAACTGGGCCGGGTGCGGTGGCTCACACCTGTAATCCCAGCACTTGGGGACACCCAGCTGGGAGGATCGCTTGAGCCCAGGAGTCTGAGACCAGCCTGGGCAACAAAGCGAGACCTCATCTCTATACTAAAAACAAAACAAAAAAATAAAATGAAAAAGAAAACTAAGGAAATCTGAGTAAAGTGTGGATTTTAGTTAATTTAATATACATATGACAATGTACGTACATAGTTATAGAACTATATATATAACTATCTACTTGTATATATACATAACTATATACATATAGATGTATATAATTATTGGGTAATTTGTTTTCAGACTGCTATCTGGGTACTTCAGGCACCTCCTCCCCACTTTGTAATCAATCTGCCTACCTAGAAATCAAGTTTGTTCAAATTGTGTGTAAAACAAGAATAAATAGGCACAAAGTGAGAGCCTGAAGTGTTCGCCTATAAATGATGTATATTAACACATGTCATTAACAAATGACAACATTTGGCTTTCTTAGGACTTTTGCATTTTAAGTCTTTATTCTCAGGTATGTAAACATTTAAAATAATCACAATTTACATTTATAAAGCATTTCTTGGTTTGGAAGTGCTTCTCATACATGATTTCATTGGCACCTCACAGCAATTCTGTCTGGTAGGCTGGGCAGGCATTTTATCCTCATTTTCTAGATGGAGGCAGTGACATTGGGACAGGATAATTGAGCAGCTCAGGTCATAGAGACCTGGAAAGTTGCCACGTGGCCGAGTTTCACACAGGTGAGGTGCATCCATTTGCTTTTAAAAGAACTAAAGAGTCTGAAACAATGTCACATTCTTTCAAATATCTGCTTGCAGTTTTTGGGGCGTTAGGGGCCTGTTTTGTTTTGGTTTTGGTCTTAGAAACACAGAGATTGGAGTGCTGCTTGGGATAGTGAGGAAGGAGCTTGATTTCCCCTTCACCCTGTGAGGCATTGGCAACTCCAGGGCTCTCCCTAGAGCACAGAGAAGAACCTTACTCAGTCTTAGGCCTAGAGAGAGCCAGTTTCCTCCTGATGCATGGCCAGCTTTAGCAGTTTGCTCTTTCCTGGAGGCCTGAAACTGGTAGGCTAGGGGGTCGGAGCCAGCGAGTTGACCTTGAGGCCTCCGCAGAGGATGTGGGGAGAGGGATAGCTTCTCCCTTCTGCTTGGCTCACTTAACTAGAGTCTGATGCTCTGACCAGGGTCACCTTGTAGGAGCAGATCCCCTCATACCCCCAAGGGTAGCCAGGATCCTCAAAAACCCCTGGTGGACGCCTCTTTCAGAGCTTCCCTCCAGGGCTCCCTGCCCTGTCCCTGTGGAGTCGTCTGTAAGAGCCCTGCCGCGTGTCTCACAGAGGAGACCAAATGGGCCCTGACATGGCTTAGGCACAGCAGATGGGTTAAGAACTGGAATATTTATGATTTAGTATTCTTTGCAGGAGCGGTGGCTGCAGTATTAGAGAAGAAAGCATGTGGCATTCTAATATTTAGTCTACTAATGAAAAGCCTCCCCTCCATGACACAGAAAACAGGATGGCAAAGGGATCCCCAGGCCGTATCTGGCCCATTCCTGCATATTGTTCACCTTGCCATGGTTTTAAGACATTTTTAAAAGTAAGTTTCTAGTATTTAAAAATCAACACATTTCACATAAAGGTGGAATAAAGTCTGTTATCTATTTATCTTAAAGCGGAGTGTCTGATAACAGGGCAAGACAACAATCAGCTGTCATCCCCAGCCTCCCCTTTTGCCCAGTTCTGTTATCTGCCTGCCTCTCATCGCACCTGAGTTCATGGTCCCTACACTAAAGGGCTTATAACCAGCAGGTGCGGCGGATGGGAGGCTGGGAGAGTTGAGGGTGTCCCTCAGGCAGCTGACAACGCAGCCTGCACTCTGGGTCCACTCAGCTCTGATCTCGGGCTGCCCTAGGGGAGTATTTAGACGGAGCGGGGGTGAACCTGATTCTCGTGTTCTGTGGTGCAGTAATGAACAAATCCTTCCATCCCCATCTTTTCTCCCCACCATGCTGTGAGAACTACATGCTGTTGACAGAATCAGAATCTCCCTAGATCACTGAGGCTTTATGTACCTGGGGTAGCCTGTTGTTGCTTATTTTATTTTTTTGAGACAGGGTCTCACTCTGTCACCCAAACCGGAGTGCAGTGGCACTCACTGCAGACTCAACCTCCCAGGCTCAAGTGATCTTCCCACCTCAGCTGCTTGAGTAGCTGAGCTACAGGCATGCTAGCTGAGCTACAGGCATGCACCACCACGCCTGGCTAATTTTTGTATTTTTTGTAGAGATGGGGTTTGGCCATATTGCCCAGGCTGGTCTCCAACTCCTGAGCTCAAGCAATCCTCCCACCTCAGCCTCCCAAAGTGCTGGGATTATAGACATGAGCCACCGTGCCTAGCCTTATTTGATTTTTCACCTCTTGCTTGTTTTATACTGAGTTCTACTGCAGGAAGTCAGCAGCCCATTTTTCACTGTCCCTCAGCAGGACAGGTCAGTATTATTACTTTTGATTCATAAAGTTGACTCAAGTACCTGAGTGTCTAAATGAATCCCCAGCTGTTAGAGCCACTGGGTTAGGCAGAAGATGGTAATAATTAAACATATATGTTTGGCTTGGGCTCAGATTCCAAGTCCATTACCTACCAGCTGTGTGGCCCTGGGTAAATTACTTACCATCTCTGGGTCTTGAGTCCACCAAGGTAAATGAAGTAATTTGTGAAGAGAGCTAGGCATGGGGCTTGAAACCTAAGAATTACTTTGTAAGAGTCAGTTAGTACGGTTTACTATTATATTTTACCATTACTTTAGGGCCCTTAAAGGCAGCTTCAGTTTCTAAAAGATTTATCCAAGGAATTACAGAGTTTTGGCAGTGGAGAGGGTCCCATAGTTATGAATCCAGCCCTCTGGTTTCTGCAGAAGAGGAATTGGAAGCCCAGTGAGGCGAAGTCAAGCTCTTTGTCTCCTTGCTCTTTTTGCCACACTGTGTTGGACTCTTGAAACTTCCCGAATGCTGAGTCGACACCTGGGGATTAAAATGTTAATTTTCAACAAGAATCTGATTTTGCTCAGCTATAATTTTATAGACAGAGAAGCAGGGACCCAGCAATGAAGGCTGCGACTAGAACTATTCCAGACAGGAGTTTCCATGTAAGCGAGAGAAGGGCTCCTTTGTGTAGCATCTTTTTCCAAGCAAGACTGGGAGCAGGGCTCCTGCACGGGAGTATGAGGTTGGTCCCCCTGAGTACTATAATCCACCCGGAGCTCTGGTCAGCATCCTCTCAGAGGAGACCACTTGAGCTGCGAACATTCTAGAATGGCCAGGGGGAGTTCTGGTCCTGGTGCCCTTGCCGCATGTTCCCGAGTGTCCTGTTCTGTCTGTTATCGGCTATTATTGCACATTCTGTGCACCCTTCTCCCTTTGCTTCCAGGGCTGTTCTGTTTCATTTCATATTGTTGGTGTCCTGGTACCTTTCCATTTCATTAATTCATTCGACAAACATTTATCGAGCCCCCACTCAGATGGGGCTCAGGATAAGGCAGTAAACCAGCCAGACCTGGGTTTCACGCTGCTGGGGCTTACGGTCTGGTCAGGAGACAGATGTGAAACAGACAACACACCAAAGGTGTCTGATCGCAAATGGTGAAACGTGGTCCAAAGGATAGGGTCAAGGAGTGGTGAGATCACAAAAGAAGGGTCTGCCTGGGGCTTGGGGTGTCACGAGGCCTCCCTGAGGCTGTGACATTTAAGCTGAGACATGAAGGAGCCAGTCACATAGAGGGGGAGTGGGGAGAAAAGGGTTCTGGGCAGAGGAACAGCATCAGGAAAGGTGGAAGGAATGTTGGAAAGCAGATGTCACGTGTGTGTGGCTGAGGGCTGTGCATGAGCCTGAGTGGCAGGGACGGAGGGCAGGGAGGAACAGAGCTCATGCCACAGAGGGAGAAGGTGATGTCACCCTTCCTGGGCTTCCCTGGGGACAGTAGAGCATCTGGGTACTTCCAGGGAGTAGAATCCAGTGGTTACGAGCCCAGACTGGAGGCAGATCTCCTGCGGTTGATTCCTAGCTGTGCCCTTAACTAACTGTGTGACCTTGGTCATGTGATGCCTCAATTTCTAAATCTGTAAAATAGGAACAATCACAATTTTACAACTGTAAAATAGAGCTGTTGAGAGGACTGAATGAAGTAACGTGTTGGCTGTGATTAGGACAGATGATGGGGATGACGGTGATGCTGACCATGTCCTTTGGCATAAGGCACATCAGTGATTGCCCCCAGGTTGTTGATGGATACTTCTGATGCTACCCACCCAGCTCATAGGTAGCATGGGAAGTCACCCAAAGAGATGAGTCTCCGACAGCCTGTGTAAAGTATGTGACCTTGCCACCTGGTTTCCATAAACCAAGGTGAACAGTTGCCCAAGGCTTGGTCAATCAGATTATTAGAATTTTGATGACCAAGAGATAGCCAGTTGGTTTGATATGGTGCCCTGAGTGGAAGAGATACAAATGAGGAAGTGTTGGGCCAGGCACAGTGGCTCGCACCTGTAATCCCAGCACTTTGGGAGGCCGAGGTGGGTGGATCACTTGAGCCCAGGAGTTAGAGATCAGTCTGGCCAATATGGCGAAACCCCGTCTCTACTAAAAATACAAAAAAATTAGCCAGGCTTGGTGGCGCGTGCCTGAGTCCCAGCTCCTTAGGAAGCTGAGGCACGAGAATTGCTTGAACCCAGGAGGCAGAGGTTGCAGTCAGCCAAGATGGCGCCACTGCACTCCACATTCCAGCCTGGGCGACAGAGCAAGACTCTGTCTTAAAAAAAAAAAAAAAAGAAAGAAAGTGCATGTGTGAGTGTGTAGGTGGGGTGAGGTTGGGGGACTGAGAAGAAAAGCAGCTTGGTTTGCAGAGAGGAGAAAAAAACAGAGCTGCAGATTCAAAATGCAGAGATACTGCCTGGTTCCCAGTGCCTTTCCAGTTCTTGGGCTTCTATTCCTGGAGAAAGCCTGCTGGCCCTGGCTTCCATGGATATCCCAGGATTCTTCCAGGAAGCTTTCTTTGGTATTGCCTGAACAAGTTCAAGATGGCTTCTGCTGACTAAGGCATGGGTTAACACAGCCCTATCGGAAAATCTTCACGGAGAACTGCACCCCAAGCAGGTGGACATTCTCCTTTTTCTCCTTCAGATCAATGGACAATTTGAAAGTGTATGTATTGTATTTCTCCTGGAGGTCCAAATACAAAACCCCTCTCTGAAGCCTTTCAAGAAGGCTTGGTATGGCTGAAATGTGGTTCTCTGCTGCTGATAAAAGTGATCATGTACCTGTGGGTGGTCTGCTGCCTTAGCTAGGTACTGAAGCCTGGATCCCAGAGACATTCCTTTCAGACTTCCTGAGCACCTCCTGATTCCTGTTCTCATTCCTTCTGGGCTGACCCATGCTCTGTGCTGAGCTTTATACCTATTCTGGTTGCAGATAAGGTAATTTAACAAATAAGGTGAGAGATTCCAGTGAGCAAAAGACAGACAGACAGACAGACAGAGCCAGAGGCAGAGTTAGAGTCTAGACCTTGGTGGGTGAGTGTGAGCTCAGTTTCTAATCATCTCTCAGCTTTACATGGCTCAGTAATCTGATATTATCAGTTCAGACAGAGGGGACAAGGCCCAGGGAAGCACTGTCCAACAGAAATATAGTGTGAGCCATAAATGTAACTTAAAATTTTCTAGTAGTAACATTTTAAAAAGTAAAAAGCATATGTTAACCCAATATAGCTAAACCATTATTATTTCAACATGTAATTAATATAATTTTTTTAAGAGAGACAGAGTCTTGCTCTGTTGCCCAGGCTGGAGTACAGTGGCGTGATCATAGCTCATTGCAGCCTCAACCTCCTGGCTTCAGGTGATCCTCCCACCTCAGTCTCCCAAGTACCTTGGACTATGGGTACACATCACTGTGCCAGCTAATTTTTTTTTTTAGAAATGGTATCTTGTTATGTTGCCCAACTTTAAGAGACAAGCGAGACGTCATCTCTAAAAAAAAAAAAAAAAAAAAAAGAGAGAGAGAGAGAGAGAAATGCATTTCTCTTATGTAAATGCTTAGGTAGGTCTTGAGGGCTACTGATATGGCTCTTTGTGCAATATTTAACCCAAGTTCCTTCTATCTGTTGGTCCACCATGCATGGGCTATATTTCCAAATTCCACAACAGTCCAAGATGACTGCTCCAGCTCCAGCCAGTGCGACCACCTTCCAGCCTGCAGAAAAGGAAAAGGGAAGAAGGACACACTACCACCTTTTCATGGCACTTCCAAAAAGTTACACACATATTACTTTTATTTACATCCATTTGTCGGGATTTAGTCATATGGCCCTATCTAGCTGCAAGGGAGGCTGAGAAATGTACTCTGTGTTCTAGGTGACCAAGTCGCTGGCTAAAATTCAGGGATTCTGTGACTAAGGAAGAAAATAGCGAGGAAGCAACTGATAGTGTTGGTCTCAGAGACCAAACCATGCTAATGAAATGCAGATTCTCTGGTAAACCAGAAGGCCAAGTTATTCAAGAACAGTAAGACTATAATTGTCAGCCAGATGAGAGTGCCTGAGTTGGCTGACCATTTCAATCTCTTCCCAGTAGGCTAGTCTAAATGGTTAGAAGATTAATGGATCGGACTATGAGAGCCTGATAGGTCCCTTTCCATTTCAGGACCTACAAACCTGCCAGGAGAACTAAAACATTCCTGCCAGCCTGGGAGGGAGCCCTTTTTCTGGGATGATGCTAGAGATGCTTGGACAAACTCTGGCCCCTCAACATTTCTTTACCTGAACCCATCCTAGCTTTATACACTACAATTCTACTTATATTTGTTACATTTTAGATGTTGGGAAGAGATTTTGAAGACATACTAGCTCTTTGTTGTGAACTTGGGATTTGCTATTGTCTCATCAGCAGTGTTCATTAACTTGATAAACATTTATTGAGCACCTACTTTTTGCCAGGTATTGCATTATGCTAGGAGTGAATAAGAACCTGTCCTTAAGTTGACTGCAGTATCTAAAGAATAGGGAAAGTGATGGGCAAGCATTTGAGAAATGAGTAGGCATTCACTGAGCAAGAGGAATGAAAAGCCATCCCAGGTGAAGGGAAGGCATGTGCAAAGGCTTGGGAGACACCAAAGAACATGACGTGTTTGGGAAAAAGAAGTAGCTGGGTGGGGCTTGTCGGGAGGAGATGCTGGAAGGGTGGCCTCTTCAGCATCCATTCTCTCTCAGTAACTACCCCATTTTCCTTGGGGTATCCACCCTCCCTACACTTCCCATATTTTTTGGAGGAAGTCGACTCCACCCTGGCCTAGGCTTGGGGTAAATAGCCCCAGTATAGACTAATCAGCAAAATCCCTTCTTGCCTGCAGATGGGCAAATGACCCAATTCTGACCTGAGAGACTGGAGAAGACTTTGCTGGCAGGTTCAGGGAAAGAAGCTCTCTCCCTTTCTCCTTCTATACAGCATGGAGCATAGGTGTGAAAACAGGAATTGTGGCAGCCGTTTTCTCACCATGAGAAAAGCCTGCCTGAGCATGAAGACAACACCATGGAGGGCAGAGAGGAAAACACCAAGAAGAAGAAGGGGTTTTGATGACATTGTGGTGCTATTGAGTCAAACCTACACTGAAGCCTCCTTGAGCCCTCGGCTTTAGGCAGCTTGGGGCTGCAATGTGAAGGACCTTGGGGCTTAGCTTTTATTCTGGGGCAATGGGAAACAATAGACAGCTTCAAGGAGGGGGGCAAGCCCACTGGACCTGAATTGTAGGAAGTTGTCTGCAGTGCTGAGTGCAAAGAGCCTGGGCCAAAGCCAGAAATGAGGACCTGAGCCAAGACAGGAGAAGAGGAAAGAGTCTGAGAGCCACTTGGGTGACAGAAGCCAGACTAACTGGATTAAGAGGGCATGAGGAAGAGGGTGTGTGCTTTAGGAAGAGGCTAAAACTCTTAGCCTGACTACATGAATGGAGAAACTCCCCTTCCCCCTTCTTTTGCCTCTATCACTGTCCCCCTGGGAAATCATGTCCACTGCCAAACCCTGTATTCTCCTCTTCTGCAGATTCATGCCTCTGATTACAATTCTTTATGGGCATGCCTGGTCCTTTGGAGCAGGGACCATGCCTCGTCATCTTCACATCCCCAGGGACTAGCCTGGCACATGGTTGGCACCGGGTCAAGGCTGACTTGGATTGAGTTCTCGCTGAGCTAGGCATGAGCTGCACCCTCCCCCTGCCCCCAGGGCTTAGTCATCTGTTTCATAAGCAGCTTCCAAAAGCTGCAGCCCCAATACCCAGCTTCCTTGTTGTTGGCAGGTGTTGGCAGCCCTGAGTGCCAGAACGCCAGGGAGCCAGCCACTGGGAACATGCTAGGGTGGTGAGCAGGAGCCAACTAATCAGGGCTCATATACATTTACGAGAGGCGTGTGTGTGCTCCCCAGGAGAGCTGTAACGACACTCCCTTTCCAGGAAACACAAACCAGGCCTCTTTCCTTTCTTTTTTCTCACCTGTCCTGTCTTGTGGCCAGAAGCACATTCATTGGCTTTCCATGCTTCTAAAATAAATCAAATTGGGGGCCACACCCTTCCAAGCTACTTTAGGTTTGCTCCGTGGAAGCTTTAACCCCTTATCATCCCACCAGGCCTGAAATGCTTGGGTTCCAATTTACAAAAATATTAACTTTTTATGTCCTTTCAGAAGAAGGATCTCAGTTTTCCTGATGTCTGCTCCCCTGCCCTGGAATTTCTCCCTCTGCTCATAATTCATCCCAAGGATGTTGACTTCTGTGTTTTGGGATGGTCAGGGGCTAAGTGGCATGGAGGGCAAATAGATTAACCTTTTACCAACTTTCCAAAGCCCTTCCTCCTTGTTCTTTTTTGTTTTTGTTTTTTTGAGATGGAGTCTCACTCTGTCACCCAGGCTGGAGTGCAGCAGCATGATCTCATCTCATTGCAACTTCCGCCTCCCAGGTTCAAGTGATTCTCCTGCCTCAGCCTCCTGAGTAGCTGGGACTACAGGCGCATGCCACCACGCCCAGATAATTTCTGTATTTTTAGTAGAGATGGGGTTTTGCCATGTTGGCCAGGCTGGTCTCAAACTCCTGACCTCATGATCCACCCACCTCGGCCTACCAAAGTGCTGAGATTACAGGCGTGAGCCACTGCGCCTGGCCCTTCCTTGTTCTTTTTATCTCGGCCTCCTCTGGGCTTTTGGAAGGCCTCTTCTTTCTCTAACCCCAAGGTTTTCCTCATTACTCCTCCAAGATTTCAAGGTTTTCCTCTTGTCAGTTTCGTTATGGAAACTCCTGGTTCCCCGCTAGCCTGCGCTCCTCAGTAGGGCTCTGAAACTCAGCTCTCATCTGCCCCAGTGTTATGTTGTTTTTTTCCCTGTCGCTATGGCAGGGATTAAGACAGGAGCCAGGGAAGAAGGGCGGGGGGAGGAAAGTGAGCACGGAAAGGCAGAAGAACGATGGGAGAGAGCCTGATTGGAGGGTGTCAGAGCTGAAGGAAACCGACAGAGAAATGGGCTGAGTGTGTCAAGGGAAGGAAGAGGGATTTGTTTTTCGTTGTTCTATTTTGGTTTTGGTTTTATAGTTTGGATTTGTTTCCAGAGATGAAGAGAAATGTACTTAGTGCTGAATCTCCCCCAACATAGAGTCATGGCTAAAGAAATCCCTCTCGCATCGTCAGTAATCCAGGGGCAATCTTTAGATCCCAGATGGAATAGGGAAAACTCTCAAAAAAGCTTCCAGTTATTCTCAATTCACTTTATGGACAAGCCTGCCCAGTCAGTGTGACAAAGTGACCCAGTACCACTCTGAGACCAGGCAAGCCCTGCCCTTTGGAGATCCCTTCCCCGCAGGCCTCCCTTTGTCCCTGGGGCGAGGGGGTCCTCAGGGCTGAGGGTGATGCCCAGACAGAGTCTATGCCCACACCCACCCCTTCCAGCCCATGCTCCATACTCAGGACCCCAGAATCTCTGCCCGAATGGCCCAAGCCCACTTCCAGGTTCTGGGTGGGCCTGTTTCCATGGTCCACCCTCTCAAGGTAGCCTGTGCAGCCAGTGGCCAAGGGATAGCTGCTTGGGACTGGGCAGTGGGCAGAACCCGGAGGTGCAGGCTGGTGTCAAGCATGTGCACTTGAGAAGGGGCCCTGGCTGAGGGTTGGAACAAACGGCAGGCAGGCCCTGAGCGGGGCTGCCTTTCCTTCTGCTGCTGCATTCTGGTCTGAAGAGTCTGAGGATTCTAAAGTCATACCTGGCCTTCCAGAATGTTATGGAGGTTCATTTGTGAAGACAGGAGAAGAAGACAGGTTTTATTGAATAATTTCTTATCTTGACTTATAGCTTTTAAATATTTAGATACATGGTATGTGAATTGTTGTTTGAATTCTTGCCCTGGTCCCACAAACCTGTGATAAAATGAAGATTTGCGTGATGGAAACGACTCTATTTCCAAATCTCTTCTGCTCCATGTTCCAGTCTTTCTCTGCCAAATGCCTTCATTTGAATGCTCTCATCCTGTGTGAGTCTGTAAATCAGCCTACCACTGAGTAGAAGAAATGGTAGTGGCCATTTTGTGTTCTCAATTTATTTTCACACACACACACACACATATATATATATGTGGTCTAGCTTCTGAACCCCCTTTCTGTGTTTGGGGAGTATCCCACTCACACACACACACTTTTCTGAGCCATGGTGGGGAACAGAGCTCACATCCCAGAACACAAAGCAAACATTGCTAAGAACTTGTCGTGGCCAACACTACCAGTGGCTTCCCCAGATGTCCACTCTCCCCTTCTCCTTTAATAAGAGAACCCTCAATGTTTAGCTGGGCACATGGCTGCCTGGGCCAAAGACTACATTTCCCAGACTCTTTTCTGCCAGATGTTGCCAAGCGACCAAGTTTCAACCATTGAGACAGAAGTGATATGGGCAATTTCCAGGAAGTGGTTGTAAAGGGAGGGAGGGGGCCTGCTTCTTACCCTTTTCTCCTTCCTGATATCTGGAATGTGGACTTGATGGCAGGCTCCCAAGCAGCCTTATTGGTCCATAAGGCAGTGTGCAAAGGCAGTGCAGAAGGAGCTCCAGAGTGGTCTCGCTCCAACTTTGTTTGCCTTCAAACTTTTTTACATAGAGAAAAAAAAAAACTCTTTCTTTTTTTTTTTTTTTTTTTTTTGAGAAAGGGGTCTCGCTTTTTTGCCTAGGCTGGAGTGTGGTGGCGTGATCATAACTCACTGCAGCCTCGATCTCCCAGGCTCAAGTGATCCTCCCACCCCAGCCTCTTGAGTAGCTGGGACTACAGGCGTGCACCACCACACCTGGCTAATTTTTGTATTTTTGCAAAGATAGGGTCTTGCCGTGTTGCCTAGGCTGATCTCAAGCTCCTGGGCTCAAGTGATCCACCTGCCTTGGCCTCCCAGGGTGCTGGGATTACAGATGTGAGCCGCCATGCCTGGCCAAAAAATAAAGTTCTATGTTGTTTAGACCATAATTATTTTGAGTCTTCTATCTAAATAGATAGAACTCAAGCCAAAATAACACATTTGTCTTCCCAGACTCTCTTGTAGCTAGGTCACAGCCTGTAACCAGGCTCCACGAAGGGCAGGCTCTCTGGTCCAGGCAGCCTCAGCAATAGGCTCGAGACCTGGGCAGCAGTGGTTGCCCCCGGTGTTCAGTACCAGGGGCATGTGTGAGGCAAGATGAGGTGCCCAGTGCTTGGTGGCAGTGGTGGCTCCTTACTGAACAGGTTCTGCCATGTGATTTTATGATTTTGGGCACTGTTTTTGGCTATATGGCCTCAACCCTGGTCCTCCAGTCCACCTGATGATTTTGTGAATATCCAACATCCTGTTAATAAATTCCCATTCTGCTTACATCTGCCAGAGTTGGTCAGTAACCCAGTCTTAGCCCCTGTCAAACTACTTTTTAACAATAAGATTTTACCAAGATTGTTGGTTTTGCCATTAGATGAGTCCATGGAATAATCTCAAACTCAACGTGAGGCATGAATTCCATTTAAAGTCAGACAGTCCTAACAATTCTTGTTTCTGAGGGTGCTGTTGATGGGGGCAAAATTGGGTTCTTTGGAATATTCAGTGTCTCTTGGCATAGGGATATGTGCCATCTACGAGGTGAAACATGATATTTTTGGGGGAATACCAACAACAAAAATTAAATACAAATTTAATTAAATGAATACAAAATTAAATTAGAAGTACATTCAAAGGGTACAGCACTTCACTTGTTCAGAAGTGATTTATGCGGCAACCCCAGCTATTTGGAACACTGCCAGGAACCAGAAAATGAGCAGAAATCAATACAACCCCCAAAACCAATGAACAGACAAACAACAACTCTCAAAGCAAAACAAGACAAAAAACACTATTCACAGCCAAAATAAATGTCACAGGATCCACTGCCTAGATTTTATGTATTTATTCACAGGTGCACCATCTTGACCCTCCTTCAGAGCATATTTACTGTTTGTGTAGACAAAGTTTGAGGAACAATTTGGATGAGGAACGTCCCATTCCATAGCAGATTTGAATGTGGACGGGAGAGGGGAAAGGCTGCCGTGGACTGACAGTCTACCAGCAATTATAAGATGGGTGTTAGCTTGTGTTAAACTCAGAGACAAAGCAGTCAGGAGAGCCTAGCATCAGAGCCGATTGGGTGTAACAGTATCGAGTCTGTGTTATAGCCCAATACACAAACAGGGAAGGGGGTCATGAAAATCCTGGGTGTCATGAAAAGTTAGAAAAGTTAAACCACAGGACATTATCCAGTGCTGGTGAACATGCGGAGCAATGAGCAGTTCCCCAATCACTGGTAGAAGAACAACCACTTGAGAATCTGGTTTGGCAGCACCTTGGAGAGCTGAGCATGTGCAGAGTCCTTGATCCAGGAGTTTCATTCCTAAACGTGTGCAGAGAGAAACTCTTGCAATGGTCACAGGAGACATGTACCAGAAAATCCATGGCAGCACTGTTTGTAACAGTACTCAAAATTCCTCAGATATCCACCAAACAGGAAAACAAATGAGTGCATTGTGGTATGCTCTACAATGGGATATAATACAGCCGGGAAAATGAGCACACTAAAGCTACACACAGCAACATGGATGAATCTAGAAATACAACATTCGGCCGGGTGTGGTGGCTCATGCCTGTAATCCCAGGACTTCGGGAGGCAGAAGCAAAAGGATTGTTTGAGCCCAGGAGTTGGAGATGAGCCTGAGCAACATGATGAGACCCTGTCTCTACAAATAAATTTAAGAAAGAGTTAGCTGAGCATGGCAGTGTGAGCCTATGGTTCCAGCTACTTGGGAGTCTGAGGCAGGAGGATCACCTGAACCCAGGAGGTCAGGGCTGCAGTGAGCTGTGACTGGGCCATTGCACTCCAGCCTGGGTGACAGAGTAAGACCCTGTCTCAAAAAAAATAAACAAATAAATGAAAATTAAAAACACAATGTTCAGCAAAAGGAACTAATCACAAGAAAATATAAAAATAGCAATTTGATTTACATAAAATTCAAGAACAGGCAAAACAAATTATATTGTTTGGGGCTACATTCATGTGTGGTAAAGAGAAGCAAGGACACAATGTATAGTCTGCTGGAGTGTGGTTACTTCTAACAGAGAAGGAGGAGGCTTATCAGGTACCATTGTGATATTTTTTTCTTCACTGGAGCATGGGTCTGTTGGTATTTTATTTATATTATTTATACCGTGCATCCATGTTTTATTCATGTATGAGATATACTTCACCAACAATTTTTTTAAAAGAAGGAGAAAAAAACCAAGAGTCAGGTTCTGTTTAATGTACTCCATTTAAGAAGGCAAAATAGTATTTAATAACATTAGAAATCTTTCTACCAAAAACAATAATCAGAAAAACCATTTTGGCACTTGGAGGGCTAAGTTGCAGTTTCTGGAAAGTTTATTTAAATGTGACTGTGTCTCAGCTGCTTTCCCATACAGTGGAGACACCAGAACCTGGAGTCTCATCTCTTTTCAAACAAATTTCCAAATCCTGAAAAAAAGAGAGAGGAGCCCTTATGGAAGCTCCATGGTATGACACTGAGGACCTTCGCCAGCCAGCTCAAAGTCTGCATTTTGGCCTCCCTCCCTCTGGCTGCTTCCTTATCGGAGTCACCTGAGAGCTGGTTTGAAATGCAGATTCTCAAGCCCTACCCTGGATCTGCTGAATCAGAATCTGCAAATTAATAAGATCCCTGGGGACTCTGTCTTAGCCCCTTTAATGTTGCTTATAACAGAATACCTGAAACTTGTTAATTTATAAATAAAAGACATTTGTTTTACAGGTATGAAGGCTGAAAAGTCTAAGGTCAAGGGGCTGCATCTGGTGAGGGCCTTCTTGCTGTTGGGGACTCTGCAGAGTCCTAAGGCAGCACAAGGCGTCACATGGCAGGGGGACTGCGTGTGATAGACAGGCCTTTCTTCCTTTTCTCTCTCTGTTTTTTAAGACAGGGTCTCATTATGTTCCCCAGGCTGGTCTTGAATTCCTGGCCTGAAGCAATTCTCCCACCTCAACTTCCCAAGTAGCTAGGTTTACAGATGCTTGCCACTGTGCCTGGTTTTCTCCTTCTCTTAGAAAGCCACCAGTCCCATTCTCATGATAACCTACTAATCTATTAACCAATTAATCCATTAAGCTATGAATAAATTAATACATTCATGAGGGCAGAGCCCTCATTACCCAATCACCTCTTAAAGGCCCCACCTCTCAATATGGCCACATTGGGGAGTTTTGGAGGGGACACACATTCAAACCGTAGCGTGCTCTGAATGCACACTGAAGTGTGAGAAGCATTGCTTAAGACTAGACTATGACTAGGGACCAGATACTCAGTTCTTTTTCTTTTTAAAATAGATTTAGGAAGTACAAGTGCAGTTTTATTACATTGATATATTGTACAGTGGTGAAATCTGGGCTTTGAGTGTAACCATCACCCAAACAGTGTATATTGTACCCATTACGTAATTTCTCATCTCTTGCCCTCCTCCCACCCTCCCATTTTGCCAAGTCTCCAGTGTCTATTATTCTACTTTCTATATCAATTTGTACACATTATTTAGCTCCCACTTACACGTGAGAACATATGGTATTTGGCTTTTTGTTTCTGGGTTATTTCACTTAAGATAATGGCCTTTAGTTTCATCCATGTTGCTGCAAAAGACATGATTTTATTTATTTCTTATGGCTGAGTAGTACTCCATGGAATACCATGTATAGATACATTTTCTTTATCCAGTCATCCACTGATGGACACTTAGGGTGATTCCATGTCTTTGCTATTGTGAATAGTGCTGCAACGAACACATGAGTGCAGGTGTCTTTTTTATATAATGCCTTTTTTTTTTTCCTTTGTGTATATACCAGTAGTGGGATTGCTGGACCAAATTGTAGTTCTATTTTTAGTTCTTTCAGAAATCTCCATGCTTTTTCCGTAGAGGTGGTACTAATTTACCCTGCCACCAACAGTATAAAAGCATCCCCTTTTCAGGCCGGGCGTGGTGGCTCAAGCCTGTAATCCCAGCACTTTGGGAGGCCGAGTAGGGCGGATTGTGAGGTCAGGAGATCGAGACCATCCTGGCTAACACGGTGAAACCCCGTCTCTACTAAAAATACAAAAAATTAGCCAAGCGTGTTGGCGGGCGCCTGTAGTCCCAGCTACTCGGGAGGCTGAGGCAGGAGAATGGCGTGAACCAGGGAGGCGGAGCTTGCAGTGAGTGGAGATCGCGCCACTGCACTCCAGCCTGAACGACAGAGCGAGACTCTGTCTCAAAAAAAAAAAAAAAAAAAAAAAAGCATCCCCTTTTCTCTGCATCTTTGCCAATATCTGTTGTTTTTTGACTTTTAAAAATAATGAATAATGGCCATTCCGACTGGTGTGAGATGGTGTCTCATTGTGACTTTAATTTGCATTTCTCTGATGATGAGTGGTGAGCATTTCTTCATATGTTGTTGGCTTCTTGCAGATACTCAGTTCTTTATAATTTCGGGAAAACTGCCCTTTTGAACAGGCCCAAAGTCGACCCTCCTCGTACTGAGATCCGTGCTGCAGGGGATGGTGCTCAGGAAAAATCTAATGGATTGATCGATTCATTCATTCAATTAATGTTAGGATGAATCCTATGAAATGGCCATTTTATAGGTCAAAAACAGCTGAATATTGTCAGTTTGACATGGTCTAGCTCTTACTATTTGTCAAGCTCCCATTATGTATGAGGCACAAAGCTAGGTACTGGGGGTGGGGCAGGGAGCAAAACCAGCCTAGGCTCCTGCTCTCAAGGAGCTCATGGTTTGCCATGAAAGATAGTCAATAATTTAAAAAAAAAATCTAGCCGGGCGCGGTGGCTCATGCCTGTAATCCCAGCACTTTGGGAGGCCAAGGCTGGCAGATCACGAGGTCAGGAGATCGAAAACATCCTGGCTAACACGGTGAAACCCCGTCTCTACTAAAAATACAAAAAATTAGCCAGGCGTGGTGGCGGGTGCCTGTAGTCCCAGCTACTTGAGAGGCTGAGGCAGGAGAATGGCGTGAACCCGGGAGGTGGAGCTTGCAGTGAGCCAAGATCACGCCACTGCACTCCAGCCTGGGTGACAGAGTGAGACTCCGTCTCAAAAAAAAAAAAATCTACACAAAGAATTCCAACTGTGGCAACAGCCACAGAGTGGAGATCCCCGGTGTACAGAGTGTCCATGAATTGACGAATGTCACGGTGGGTGGTGGTCAGAAAAGGTCTCTCTGAGGAAGTGCCTCCAGAACTGAAATCTGAAGGGTGAGGAGTTAGCCAGACTAAAGGGGGTAGAGGTGAAGAGTGAGGACTCAGAGGAAGAGAAATCTAGGCAGAGGGTGCAAAGGCCTCCCACAAACAATTATGGAAGGCAGGGACCCTGTCTGGCTGCAGGGCCTGGCCTGTGGGGCCTGGGGTCTCTCCTCTCCCTGCTGGGAGGTAGCTGATTTTGCCCATGACAGCAACCCCATAGTGCTCTAGGCCTTTCTGCTTCTCCTGAAACCTTTGTGTTAAAGAGGCTGCTGTGCCTTGACTCCTCCCTGGGAAGGGATTAGCAGACCATGATTTAATGGCCCTACCAAGTGGTGGAGTGGGGGGCCTAGGGGGCTGGTCTCAAATCTAGATCTCCCCCAGATTGACTGGGATTCTTCTTCCTAGCTCAGCAACCCCTGTGACTAGCAGCTACACTGGTTTTATAAGAGCCAGCCCATTTTAGCTAGAGCAGCAGTCGATAGCTTTGTGGTATGGGCGGCCATACATCATTCATATTAAAACTGGCCACTGCCATGCCTGAGACATCCTGCTGAGACAGCAAGTCTTTTGTCAGCTGCCTTCTCTTCCCTTGACCCATTTTACTTGGCAGTGGTTCTGTCTTGGGAGTCCCAGGCCAGGGAGTGACTGACTGGGCAGGTGTCCTCCCTCTTCCCTGTCTCTGCCCTCTTTGGCGCCTCCTCTCGTTCTTTCTACTCTGAGTGTTCAGTGCTCTCAAGTTTTCTCAGCCTCCTCCATTGGGAGAAAAAAACACCAACAACTTATAATTGCATCCCTGCATTGGCTATTTAATTTGCTCCTCTTTCAGGCCCCTCTCTCCACCATTGTCTACTCCTGTAGCAGGACGTAGTTCTACTGATGAACAGCCTGGTCCGGGCCCCGACTGTCAGACCAACTGTGGTCCTTGGCTGGGGGTCCACAATAGTGTTCTTGGCTGGTCCTGCCTTGAGGCCTTGAGATACTGTGTCAGACTTCGTACTAACAGCCGTACAAGTTAAGTGTTATGGCCCCATTTTACAGACATGAGAACTGAGGTTCCTAGTCAAAGTCACATAGGAAGGACTCAAACCCAGACCCGCTGGACTTTTAAACCTGAACTGTAGTCTTCTGGGTAAAGGGGTTTCTCACTGTGTCCCTGAACCATTCCCCACCTGCTTCCTACTCCCACCCCTGTCTGTCACCATTTCCAGGAGTCTGAAATTCCCCTATTAAGAGATTTCTTCCTTGAGGCTGAAAGTATTTTAATTTTCAAGAGCCATTAGTCTGCAAAACCCCTGGGAAATAGAATCCCCTAAACTTTTATTTTCTAACACCAGAGTGGGGAGAGTTTAGTAGGCCAGTTCTACGGGAGGACATTGAGGGGACAGGACAGACAGGGGTAGAATGAAGGTGTTTGATTCACTGAGGACCCCTTCTCCCTGGTGCTTTGATGAGCCCAAGTTTAGCTTCCCACCTGGTTCCCGGGGGCCCCACAGCTGATCATTTCCAGCGAGCTATTTTGAGAGAGCAATTATCCTGAGAGTGCCTTCAGCTCCATCAAGTACAGTTTAATAAGGCTCCTGGGGAGCTGTGAGCTTCAAGTGCTGTGCAGAGTGGCAGAATGGGTAGGGACACGTGCTCTCTTCTACCTACAGGACCCCAGCTTCTGTGGCTCTGAGAGCCAGGCACTTGGCAAGATAGGCCTGAGTAGTGGTGTGTGTGTGTGTGTGTGTGTGTGTGTGTGTGTGTGTGGCAGGGAGGGGAGGTTCAAACTGACCCCTGGTTGTCATGGCAACCCGTCCTTGAGCCAATCTTATGCTGATCTGAGTGTTTCTGAAGACAAGCTGTAACTTCCTGGCTGACAGTGTTGATTTAGACTGGGTTGAGAGACCCTCTAGATTAAGGGACCACCCTATTACTGGCTTTGACACTGTAGGCTTCCAGGATTCAACCCAGGAATCAACATTTTTATTTCTGACTCAACACGGAAACCTCTTTGCTGACCTGCAGTAATAAACTTGCCCCTTCAATATTTTCCAAGCATCAGTGATATCTGACTCAGGGCCTGAAGGCAAGTGACAAACATCTCCTGTAGGTAGGAATTTATTCCATGAATTTCCCTTCACTGTCTCCCTTCCACCCTGCCTTGATGCTGAATCCACATGGACTACCCTCTTTTCCTGCATATTTTCCATGATATAGGACGCAGGAATCATAATAGCGACTAGGGAGTAGTTCATCAACCTGCCGGGCGTTGTAATAAACACTTGACATGCCTCATTTATCCTCACTACGATCACAGAGGGTACACACAAGGACTCATTTCACACACGAGGGCACTGATGTTCGTGGAAATGAAGTGGCCTGCCCAGGGTCACTGAGCTGGGCTGTGGTAGAACCTGGACTTGAGCCCAGCTTGTCTGATTGTTGAGCCTGGGCTGGAACCATTAGCATCCTGCCTTTCTGGCTGACCTCTGCGAGCAGAGCCACTCATACATGGTGATATGGATAAACTTAACCATAGGAAATTTAAACAAGGCTCCAGGTGGTGGGGTCTTCCCCTTCACTGCCACTTCTGCATTGAATGACCTGGGAAGAAAACCAATTTGTTTAAAGGTGAAGAGGCACCCCTTCCATAATTTAAGTATTTGGAATATATTTTTAAATTTTAATTAATTAATTAATTTGGAGGCAGGGTCTCGCTCTGTTGCTCAGGCTGGAGTGCAGTTGCTTGATTGTGGTCCACTGCATCCTCAACCTCCCTGGCTCAAGTGATCCTCCTGACTCAGCCTCCCAACTATCTGGGACCACAGGCACGTGCTGCCACACCTGGATAATTTTTAAAAAGTTATTTGTAGAGATGAGGTCTTCCTGTGTTGCTGGTCTTGATCTCCTGGGTTCAAGTGATTCTCCTGCCTTGGCCTCCCAAAGTGCTAGGATTTTAGGTGTGAGCCACCATGCCTGGTCTAAGTATGGGAATGAATATCAACCTGACACCTAAAAAGTTCACATTTTATTTAAAATAGGAATGTAGTGATTTCCAGTCTTTTTAGACTTGCAATGCTCTGTTGCTTTTGTTGTTATTGCTACTTGCTTTTTCTTTTGTTTTTGTAATATCCTTTCTGTAAAAGGACAGTTATCCGTGACATGAAATTCAATTTAAAAAGTGTTTGCTTTAAATTCTTCAATGGAACCCCTTAAGATAACTGGAGATGCCACCCAATCACAGTGATAACATCGTACCAAAAAGAAGTGGCGTGGGTTACCAGGTGCTAGAGACTGAATGTTTGTTTCCCCAAATTCCCATGTTGAAATCTTAACCCCCAAAGTGATGGTATTAGGAAGTAGGGCCTTTGGTAGGTGACTGGCTCATGAGGGCTCCGTCCTCATGAATGGGATTAATGCCCTTTTAAAAGAGACCACAGCCCGGGTGCAGTGGCTCATGCCTATAATCCCAGCACTTTGGGAGGTCGAGGTGGGCAGATCACTTGAGGTCAGGAGTTCAAGACCAGCCTGACCAATATGGTGGAGGTTACAGTGAGCCAAGATCGGGCCACTGCACTCCAGTCTGGGTGACAGAGCAAGACTCTGTCTCAAAAAAAAAAAAAAAAAAGAGAGAGAGAGAGAGAGACCCTGGAGAGCTCTCTCCTTCTACCATGTGAGGACACAGGGAGAAGATGGCCAACTATGAGCCAGGAAGTGGGCTCTCACCAGACACCAAATCTTCTGGCACTTTGATCTTGGACTTCCCAGCCTCCAGAATGATGAGAAATACATTTCCGTTGTTTATAAGCCACTGAGTCCATGGTATTCTGTTATGGCAGCCTGAACGGACTAACATACCAGGTGTGTCCACTTTGTGAAAATTCATTGAGCTATACACTTGAGATTTGTGTGCTTTTTGGTTTGTATATTATACTTCAATTTGGAAATTGACTTAAATATTTTTTAAAATAAAAGAATGAGGGCTTTCTCTGAATGGTTGCAAATTAGAATGCAGGGGCTGGTGTTCATGTCGAGCTCTCAGGGCCCCTGTAGAATGATCTGGTGCTCCCTGCCATTTGCTGCTCAGGGGCTCACAATGCAGGGTTGCACAGGGTTGAGTGTAAAGATCTCAGTGTGTGTGCATGTGCAGGAGAGAGGCCGGCCAGCAACTCTAACAGCAGTTGGGTTGTTTTTATTTATATCTTGGCTCCAACAGAAACTAGGTGTGTAACCCTGGACGAGTTCCTTAACCTTTCTGAACTCCAGTTTCCTCATTTGCAGAGTGAGGGTGATAACAAGGTCATATCAAAGAATTGCATGAGAAGGGATTAACTAGGATAACATGTTTAAAGGGCTTAGCCCAGGACCTGGGACACAGCAAACATGAAAATGATGTATGGAATCAGAATGCCTAGAGATGGGCTCTGGCATCCAGTTTTTAACAAGGTCCATAGGTGATGCTGGTGCACAGCAAGGTTAAGAATTACACGAGGCCAGGCGCAGTGGTGCACGCCTGTAATCCCAGCACTTTGGGAGGCCGAGGTGGGCAGACCACTTGAGGTCTGGCATTCAAGACCAGCCTGGCCAATATGGTGACACCCTGTCTCTACTAAAAACACAAAAATTAGCCAGGTGTGGTGGTGGGTGCCTGTAATCCCAGCTACTCAGGAGGCAGAGGCACAAGAATCAACTGAACCCGGGAGGTGGAGGTTGCAGTGAGCCAAGATCATGCCACAACACTCCAGCCTGGGCGATAGAGCGAGACTCAGTTTCAGAAAAAAAAAAAAAATTACACTGACCTGGCTTCTGCCCCCACCATTGCACCGTGGAACATCTAGAATGTTAATTCTCTTCTCTCCTCTCACTGGTTAGAGCAGAGGTCAGAAGGGCCAGATGTTTGGAAAGGGAACATAGATGGCAGAGGAAGGTCATTCCTTCCTTCCTTCCTCCCCCACACACTCACTGAACGTGTGCCAGGCACTGTGTGGGGGAAGGACAGACAGACGGCCAGGTGTGACTCCTGTACCCGGGCACTAACTGCTCACCAAGCAAATGGCCCCATCACATGCACTCTGCTGAAGGGGCACAGAACTCGTGGGCGTTGGTATCAGCTTTACCTCTGTGTTTCTGAGGCTTATTTTTCACATATGTAAAATGAGGGAAATGGACTGGATGGTTTTGGAGTCCTCTCATCCATGATATTCTATGACTTCCATAAGCACGCCCCTAAAAACACTGTACTGTAAAACTCAATGATCAGAAAATGAACAATTCAGTTAAAAAATGGGCAAAAGGCCTGAACAGACACCTCACCAAAGAAGGTATATAGATGGCAAATGAGCATATAAAAAGATGCTCAACATCATATGTCATCAGGGAAATGAATATTAAAATAACAGTGAGATACCACTACACATCTATTACAATGGTCAAAATACAGAACACTGACAGCACCAAATGCTGGTAAGGACATGGAGCAACAGGAACTCACCATTCATTGCGGGTGGGAATGCAAGCTGATATGGTCACTTACTTTGGAAGATGATTTGGCAAGTTTTTGCCAAACTAAACCTATGATACAGCAGTTGTGCTCCTTGGTATTTACCCAAAGGGAGTGAAAACTTAGATCCACACAAAAACCTGCACACGGATGCTTATAGCAGCTTTCTTTACAATTACCAAAAACTCACAAGCAACCAAGATATCCTTTAGTAGGTGAGTACATAAATAAACTGTGGTACATCCAGACAATGAACTATTATTTGTGCTAAGAAATAAATGAGGTATCTAGCCATGAAAAGACATAGAGGGGATGCCGAGGCAGGTGGATCATGAGGTCAGGAGATCGAGACCATCCTGGCTAACACAGTGAAACCCCGTCTCTACTAAAAATACAAAAAATTAGCTGGGCGTGGTGGCGGATGCCTGTAGTACCAGCTACTTGGGAGGCTGAGGTAGGAGAATGGCGTGAACCCGTGAGGTGGAGCTTGCAGTGAGCCAAGATCACGCCACTGCACTCCAGCCTGGGTGACAGAGCGAGACTCCGTCTTAAGAAAAAAAAAAAAAAAGACATAGAGGAGCTGTAAATGCATATTACTAAGTGACAAAAGCCAGTTTGTAAAGGCTACAAACTGTATAATTCCAACTGTGTGACATTCTAGAAAAGGCAGTAAAAGGAGAAGTAAAAGGATCAGTGTGGTTGCCATGGTTAGGAGAAAGGAAGGGATGAACTGGCAGAGAACAGAGGATTGTTTTTTGGCAATGAAATTATTCTGTATGATGCTACAGTGGTGGATACGTGTCATTATACATTTGCCTAAACCCATACAAGGTAACACAAAGAATGAACCCTAATGAAACTGTGAGCTTTGAGTGATGATGTGTTCATGTAGGTTTATCTGTTGTAACAAATGTTACCACTGTGGTGGGGGATGTTGGTAATGGGGGAGACAGGGGTATGTGGGAAATCTCTATACCTTCCATTCAATTTTGCTTTAAAATTGCTCTAAGAAACAATGTCAATTTAAAATAAAACAAACAAGCAACCAAAAATGCTGTATTATGTGCGATCAAGAGCACAGGCTTTGGGGCTACACTCCCTGGGTTTGAGTCCTGGCTCTGACTTATAACTAGCTGTGACCATCAACAAGTTAGCTAAACATTCTGTGCCTCAGTTTCCTCATCTGTAAAATAGGGATAATAATAGTGCCTGCGCTGCAAGTTTCTGTGAGGATTAAGTGAATTAATAAATCTAAAGCATGTAGCATAGTGCTAAGCAGTCAACCAGTATTAGTTATCATTTAACAAGTGGACCTTTTGAAGAGCTGATTCCAATTGATTGGCTGTCACTACCTTTTGGACAGAGCAATCCCTTGCACTCAGGATGGACAGTCAGACACCAGACAAGGACTAATTCTCTCCACTGTGTTGAGGTGGAAGACCTTTTTCAGAGTCAGAGCTTTCAAATCTACCCACGTTCTGAGGCTCAGAGAAAATACCTCTTGATGGGCCCATGACAACAGACTAGGCAGGAAAAACAGTGATATACCCATGTCTTATTTGATTGAGTGCCTTGGTAGAGACCCCAATTCCCCTTCTTCTCTTAAGTAGTCAAGCATTGTGCTGCTTCTGATGTCCCTGTGGGGAAGAAAGCTCAGTCCTAGACTAGGCCAAGATGGGTGTTCAGTCTTCAGGGGATCATATCATCAGGGAATCACCTTCCCAGGGGCACCACTGCCTCTGAGATATTAGTTGAGAACCCTCGATGAACTCTGATGTTCTGTTGCTTACTTTAAATGCATCTAATATTGATGGAACATTTTCCCAAATAGCTCTAATGCCGTAATTGTGCTTGGGATTTATACATATGCATATCAATACAAGTAGTTTGCATGGGTGATTTAGGGTTTCCTTTTAAAGCACACATACTTTCTAGGCCCCAAGAACCTAAATTGAGATATGCTGTTTTCAGATAAAGAACCAGGTATTAATATAATTAAGAGCAGGTATTACAGTCGACCTTGACCCAAAAGACCAAGAAGTCATACTTGAACTAAGATTCATTTGGCCACAACCTGTAAAAACCCAAGGAGTGGCCAGGCATGGCAGCTCACGCTTGTAATCCCAACACTTTTGGAGGCCGAGGCAGGCGGATCATCTGAGGTCAGGTGTTCAAGACCAGCCTGGCCAACATGGTGAAACCCATCTCTACCAAGAAGTACAAAAATCAGCTGGGCATGGTGGCGCGTGCCTGTAGCTCCAGCTACTTGGGAGGCTGAGGTGGGAGAATCCCTTGAACCTGGGAGGCGGAGGTTGCTGTGAGCCAAGATCACGCTACTTCACTCCAGCCTGGGCAATAGAGTGAGATCCTGTCTCAAACAACAACAACAACAAACCCAAGGAATGGATGTCCCCAAAAGGCAACTCCAAAGACTTCTTCTGACAGAAGGTCTAGTGGTGTCATCTCACTTTCCACTGAAAATGGTAGCCCTTTCTTCTTGGAGAGGCCTAGTCCCAAAAGAGAAACCTCCAAGAACCAGAAACTAAGTTTTTACACATGGACCTCAAAGAAGTCTTTCTTCTTTGCTTTGCCTTATTCTTTTGGAAACCTTGTGAAAAAGGTAAGGAAGGGATTACCAACCAGTCAAGCAACATTGGGAAATGCCTTTATTCAGTCCCTACCCAACCACAAGTAGCCCTGGGGTTAGGCACATCTATGTTTGATCTTATTTAGTCCTGACGGTGACCCTACACGGTAGGAATCACTACCCTCCCCTTTACCAAAGGGGATAATGAATCTCAGAGAAGAACCCGTGGCCCTGGGATTTAAATCTAGCACTCTTTCCACCACCCCAGGCTGCCTATGTTATATGACTTTTATGGCTCTCAGTTTCCTAGATGGAAAATTAAGGGTCCTGGTCAACAGGGTGAAAAAAAAAAAGAAAGAAAATTAGGATGTTGTAATATGGAATGTCTAAGACCAATGTTCATTCAAACTCCATGATTCTACAAATATTATTCTCTGCCATTAAAAAATGGAATTGAAGCATAGAAATGATCTTTGTTTATAGAGTCACAGAAGAAGTCAGGTGTAAGTGAGAGCCCTGCTTACCCCATTTATGCCTAGTGTTCCATTACTGGAACACTAAGCTTATGGGAGTTATTTATATTCTACTGCTCAAAGTCATTGCTAAGTTCTAATTTTTCACACAAAAAAATTGCAACTTCTGGCATAAATGGGTTAAAACTAGGTCTCTGGGCTCCCTTCTCATTGAGCAATGGACAGTTGGGGAGGCGCCTGGTGTTAGAGACAACATATCTTTCAGTGCCTTTGTTTATTTAGCATCCAGGCAGTCTTACTGCCAGCAGCTTGTCCCTTGAAAAAAGTTTCAGCCTCTCCTCCTAGGCAAGCAGCAGCCTGAGACTCTGAGCCAGGCTGAGTTTTAGGAGCCATGGCTGGACATCTTGCTGGGGGAGGGCCAAACCACAGCATCCAAGAGCTGCCTTCCTGAGCCCTTACTATGTGGTAAGCACTGTTCCAAGTGGGCAGGAACTCATTAAACCTTCATGACACTCCTATGGATTGGGTATTATCATACACACTCCATTTTAATGATGATGAAATTGAGCATGTAGAGGTTAAGTAACTTGCCCAAGGCCACACAGCTAGTAAGCATCGGAGACAGGATGCACACAGAGGCAGTCTAGTCCCAGAGTCCACACTCTTTATTTGCCACTGTATCCTACTGCCTTGTATGATACATTAATCTTAAAAGACCAGACATGCGAAAACTGTGTAAATGGCCAATCTGAGACACCAACAGGGCCAGTGGGTCTGGAAGAATTATGGCTGGGCAGTGGAGTCTGAAAAGACCCCCTCTAGCTCTGAAACTCTGACCTGTGGGAAGAAGGAAAGGTAGAAGGAATTTCTTTGCCCCAAAACAAGTTACTTAGGATGACTTTTTATTCTTTTTTTGCCCCCTAACTTTTTAAAGTTTATTTTTTGTGGAGACAGAGTCTTGCTATGTTGCCTAGGTTAGTCTCCAACTCCTGACCTCAAATGACCCTCCCACCTTGACTTCCCAAAGTGCTGAAATTACAGGTGTGAGCCACTGTGCCAGGCCATGTAGGAAGAGCTTTTAAAAGGGTAACTGCTCCTGTGCCAGTGGAGTGGGATAGTCCCAGGGCACCAAGCTGATTTGATTAAGAGTTTCCGACAAAGGGAGGAAGGCTGGTTCCAATGGTTTTTATTTATTTATTTTTAACTATTATTTTTTAATTTTTCTTTTCAAGTTTCCAATGATCCAATTGTTTTTCTACCTGTCTCTTAACACCTCTCAAAACTCCCTTTTATGCTTATAATTATTTAGTTAATTAGCTAATTATTCATCCACCTAAGGACTGGGCCAGTCTTTCTCATCATTTCATGATGCTGTGAGCCCTGCACATAGAAATAATCAAATATTTATTGAATGAATGAATGAATGAATGACTGAATGAAGGAATGAATAAAAATCCAACTCTGTGGTCTGAAATATACTCTCGTACACGGCAGGGCACAAACATAACAAGCTGGCATTTGAGGAAGTATTTGAAAGGAAAGGCTGGCTTTAAAAAGGAGGAAGGAGAGGATTAGGAAGGTGTATTTAAGAGATAGAGAAACGCTGGCGGGAGGAGATGGGTGGGGGAATCGTGGGCACAAAACCTGAAAGGAAGCCTGTGAACCTGGCCAGGGCTACCAAAGAAGCCCTTGTCCCAAGGTCCCCTCCAGAGGCCTTCTGACCGCCCTCAGCGCCCACCTCCCACCTCCAGCTCACCCCTGAGGCCAGCGCAGAGGTGTCTCCTCTTACAGGAGTGCATTCTAATTGCAAAATCATATCCTCGTTTTTTAAGGAGAGCCAATTCCTCCAGTTCCGAGTGTGGGGGCCTTTTCTGGTCTATGGGGACCTATTCTGGTCTCAGGGGGTGAGTTTCCAGGAGCCCAGGGACTCAGCGGGGAGGGCGGCTCTCTAGAAGGTACACTTTGGCTGACTTAGGGCAGGGTGCTGAGACATGCAGGTGTCAAAACCTGGCCCGGATTGCCTGGAGCTGGAAGAGCCTTCCAAGAAGTGAAAATCCCACCCCTCCCCCGCCTAGGCCCACACAACAGCCCAGTCATAGGGGCCTCCTTGGCTCCTCCCTACACCTCTCTCTACCACACCACCAAATTGTTGAGTGTAAGAGGAAACGCTACCTCCCGCAGAAAACCTAAAGGGACTTTTTTTCCCCTTCAATAAACATTTGCTGAAATAACTTTTTATTGGTGGTTGTTTTAAAATGCATAGCAGAAAAAGAGTCCTGAGAATTATTTCCACCATAACTTTTGTTCAATGAGATCTGTGTCATCAGTGGGGACCTCAATTTCCTCATCTGTAAAATATGGCCTCTTCCTTGCTTTAATATTCTACAAGTTTGTGCTGCATAAGGTGTGACTGATAATTACATCTCTGCTCAACAAGCATCTGTTCAACAAGTATTCTTTAAGTGCCAAGAGCCCAGACTGCTTTCAACATTATCAGGGACACAAAAGAAATGATTTCCTTCCATTTTTATTTAAATAAATGCAATCATATATTTGGCACATTGAGTGCCAAACATAAGCTCAGCACATGGTAGGTGCTATAGGAGTTTAAAAATTTTAAGATACTGTCCCTACTGATAACTTCAAGCATGTTGGAATGATAATGCATATGTGAAATAAGGAGAAAAATTTTAAATGGCATATGATTAGATGTTAGAAGGGAAATGCTAGTTAAGGTCAGAAGAGGGAGAAATCCCTGTGGGTTTGACCCATCTGAGAAGGTGACAAAGTAGGGGACTTGAGCTGACTGAACCATAATGTTGATGGTTATGATGGTGATGGTGGTGGTGGTGACGAACACAGCCAAATGTATTGGGCTTGTGGCAGGTATTGATATGGTGCTTCATAAGATCGTATTTAATCTTCACATAAACCCTCTAATGTAGGCACCATTATTGTCCACATTTAACTGTTGAGGAAACTGAGGCCCAAACTCTTTTTTATTTTTTTTGAGATGGAGTTTCGCTCTTGTGGCCCAGGCTGGAGTGCAATGGCGTGATCTCATCCCACTGCAACCTTCGCCTCCTGGGTTCAAGCTATTCTCCTGCCTCAGCCTCCCGAGTAGCTGAGATTACAGGCACCTGCCACCATGTCTGGCTAATATTTTTGGTATTTTTAGTAGAGATGGGGTTTCACCATGTTGATCAGGCTGGCCTCAAATTCCCGACCTCAGGTGATCCATCCACCCCAGCCTCCAAAAGTGCTGGGATTACAGGTGTGAGCCACCACACCCAGCCCCAAACATTTTATGGAAGAATCTAACCAACCTATATAGCAACATCTTCTGGGAGTGGGAGACGGGGATGAAGAAGAAAGAAAAAAGTGGAGAAGGGTCTTCGGTTTTCCTAGAAGCAGCATTGTGTGAGTGCAAAGTGAAAACATCTTTGTAGTATAATATCTAATGCATGTATTTTCAGATTAAACCCTCTCTTAAAAATAACTTGAGGCCTCTCTAGACTGTACATTTTTATAGCTATAATGTACTCTTTCAGATCTGAGCAAATACCACAAACTCATCTCAGATCTTATCTCTGACAACCTGGTTTGACCTTCATGATAGTTGGGAAGCCTGTGTTAAAGGAGAAGGGATTTGAGGAGACTTGCGATTTTGTGATTGTGCCTTTCTTTCTTTGATCTTCTAGGACACCTTTTGTCTCCTAACTCCTTTATCTCCTAAGACTGAGTTCTAGACTAGCTTCTGTTTATTTATTTATATATTTATTTACTTATTTATTTAAAGCATAGGGTCTTGCTCTGTAGACCAGGCTGGAGTGCAGTGGTGCAATCATAGCTCCCTGCAGCCTCAAACTCCTGGGTTCAGATGAACCTCCTGTCTCAGCTTCCCAAGTCGCTGCAACTACAGGTGTGTGCCACCACACCTGGCTTGTTTTTGTTTTTGTTTTTTGAGACAGGGTCTCACTCTGTCATCCAGTCTGCAGTGCAGTGATAAAATCTTGGTTCACTGCAACCTCCGCCTCCTGGGTTCAAGTGATTCACCCACCTCAGCCTTCCCAGAAGCTGGGATTACAGGTGCGTGGCACAATGCCCAGCTAATTTTTGTATTTTTTGGTAGAGCCAGGGTTTCACCATGTTGGCCAGGCTAGTCTCAAACTCCTGACTTCAGGTGATCCACCTGCCTAGGCCTCCCAACGTGTTGGGATTATAGGCGTGAGCCACCGCTCCCAGCCACGATGGGCTATTTTATTTTCGTAGAAATGGAATCTTGCTATCTTGCCCAGGCATACCTCAATTTCCTGGCCTCAAGCGATTCTCCTACCGTGGCCTCTTGAAGTGCTGGGATTACAGGCATGACCCACTGTGCCTGGCCTCACTCATTCATTCATTTATTAACCCAAGATTTATTTGTTAATCACCTATGATTTAAAATTTAATATGACTAAAACATCATCTTTCATCTAAAAAAGTTTGATCAGGATTTACGATCCTGGTGTCAACTTCAGGAACCCCCTATATATGGATGACCTACACAATGACATCCTCAACCTGGGCCTTTTATCCTCTCTCCATGTGTTTTCAGGACACATTTTAAAACATAATATTCTGGAAGCAGAATGCATATGCATCGGGTTTTCCCTAAATCACTCGTGTCCTCATTTCCCCATTTTTTATGAATATTATTCATCTTCTTGGGCCTCTAGTCTGTCATCCTTTATGGGCAGGGATGATCTCTTCGTTTTTGCTTGGCCTCCTCAAATAGGGTGGCACGTGGTGCATGGCTCATAGCAAACTTCAAACAAGATTGTCTGACTAAGTCATTTAAATGACTAACTGAATCCTGAGCGGTGAGAAGGCACTCAGTACAGTTCTGTATTTAGTCTCGCAGAGGTTGAGTGGCATGTGATAGATGAGGCAAGAATAGCAAACCGATAAAATTCCATGGTGTCAGTTGAGCACTCCTTTATAAGCTTGACTTTGGGTCATTTTATTCACGTATTCTTCAGCATTCTTTTATTGACCATTGTCAGAAAACCTGACTCAAACCACCTTAGCAAGAAAGAGAAAGGCGCTATATTAACTCCAATACTGTGAAGTTCTAAGACCAATTCAGCATGTTTTCATGGCATATTAGAGATTCAGGAACTCAAATGATAATCTCATGCCTATTTCTCTTTTTCCATGTCTTGGCTCTCTTTTACTCTCTGTGTTGGTTTCTTTCTCAGGTAGGCTTTTGTCACATGACAGAAAAAATGGCCATCCACAGCCACAAACTACCTTCATACACTGGTATTTTAAAGGAAAGGAACCCCTCTCTTCCTTGGTATTTAGATGTCAAATCTCAAGGAACACTCTAATTGGCCCTGTTTGAGTCATGTGCTCATCCCTGAACCAATCACTATGGCTTTGGATATGGACTACTGTAATTGGCCAATTCAGGTTGCACCCCTCACATCTGGATGGGGGCAATGACGCCCCTCCAGGGCCACAGGGAAGAGGGAGAGAAGTGGTTCTCCAAAGAAAGGAATGCTGAGAACAACATATATCAACTATACTCCTCCTCTCCCTAAATCCACCTGCCCCAGCATTTTTTTTAATAGAGATGGGATCTCACTGTATTGCCCGGGTTGCTCTTGAACTCCTGAGCTCAAACAATCCTCCTGCCTCAGCCTCCCAAAGTGCTAGGGTTACAGGTATAAGCCACCATACCTGGTCTTTTTTTTTTTTTTTTTTTTTTTTGAGACAGGGTGGTCTCACTCTGTCACCTAGGTTGGAGTGCTGTGGAGTGGTCACAGCTCACTGTAACTTCAGACCTTCAGACTCCTGGGCTCAAGCCATCCTCCTGCCTCACCTTCCCAAATAGCTGGACTATGGGCACATGTCACCATGCCCCATTTTTTTGTTTTTTGTTTTTAATAAGTTTTGTTTTGTTTTGTTTTTGTTTTTGTAGAGACAGGGTGTTGCTATGTTTCCTAGGCTGGCTTCCTACCTTGGCCAGCTAAAGTGCTAGATACAAGTGTGAGCCACCACACTCAGCCTGCTCCAGCATTTTAACCAGAGAAGTTACCATTTCTTCATCCTCCAAAAACTTTATTGTGTTAGGAGATTAAAGAGAAGACACTAGGCTTTTCCAAGAGATGGCTGCATTTGTATGGATGCTGATTTATTCTTAAACCTTTAGACATATTTTATAACATTCTCATTGGTGGTCATTGGAAGAGAAGCCTTCCCATTCCTAGCTCACAAGTTTTCTTCTCAAATATTTTAGCCTTGAATATTTATATAGACACACACATCTATATATATGTATATTCATATATATATATAAATGCTTCAAAATGTTAAATTAGACATCCCCCCGCCCCCCTTCCCAAGTCACTACCACTCCAGGGAAGAGCTTGGGAGGCTTGTTTCTCCTGGTGGGTGTTTGATTGATGGAGGGAAGAGCAACAGGAAGAAATCACCATAAACAGGTTTATGTAATTTGCAGACTACAATAACAGCTAGTTTCAACTTCATGTTTGATTTCATGATACCATCCTGCTTTTCATTGTAAGAATTCTGCATGTCATAAGTTTTTGTCTCAAGCAGAGCAAAACATTTGTTTTTGAAAACTGTGTGATAACTCCACGGATCACCAGGGACATCTGAAAGACTGATATTGAGATTGGCTTTATCTTTACCAGGACTTGCAAAATCAAATGCCCCCAAGGGCTAGGCAGGCTGGGTGGAGACTGTCAAACTGGGTGTTTAAGTCCCATTTCAAGGGGCAGCTTCTAATGGGCTCCAGCCTATTGTTGCCATAAGGAAGCGCGTGCCGTGGCAGATATTAATTGTTTGCTATTTTCTGGTTCCTTTCTCCTCCATGGTCCATGGGAGGACTGAGATTCCTTGCATCTTTGAAATTAAGGATGGCCATGTGACTTGCTTTGGCCAATGAAACGTAAGCTAAAGTGATGTATGTCACTTCAGGAGGAAAGATTTCACTGCTAGTGTTCGGCCCTCTCTACTTCTTTTTCTCTGCCATGGTGGCTGTAAATGCACTTGTTGATATGAAGGTATAAATACTGAGGCATCATCTATAAGACAGCTGCCCTGGAGAATCACCTCAATCCACAGTTGTCTTGTGTGAGTGGGAAGTAGCCTTTCTTTTGTTAAGCCAATGAGTTTGGGGGGATATTTGTTACTGCAGCAAAACCTAGCTTATCCTGACTATTACATATGCCCAATGTTGCCTGACTTTGATATTTTTAAAAGAGAAGTTTGAAATCTAGATTTTTTTATATGAAATCTTTGCTATATTAAAAAAATATTTTTTTCTACAATTATTTTTTTGAGATGGGGGTCTTGCTATGTTGCCTAGGCCAGACTTGAACTCCTGGGCTCAAATGATCCTTCTGCTTCAGTCTCCTGAGTAGCTGGGACTACAGGTGAGCACCACCATGCCTGTCTTTTTTAGAAAAACAAATTTAAGGTTGAAGCCAGAAAAGCCAGATTTTCAGCCTGCCAGCTACGCGTTTGCAATTTTGGTCTATACAATTTGAGTAGAGACTGGAGCAGCAATCCTGTCTGAACTCCTACAGTGCTTATAGCCTGTGTCGCATCATTAGCTCTTAGCTACTCTTTGTCTTGCTATTCATTAGTTTGTAAATCATTTTTCCTAATTAGATGGGACATAGAACAGGTGAGAAATCATGTCTTAAACTTTGTGTACCTTAAAGGTGCACAATAGGTTTTCAGTATATACTAGGATAAAGACTAATTGATTGGCTGATTACTCAGAACTATCACTTTCTCCTTTGATTTTGGAGGAGCAGGTCTGGGGAATTCATTATTTTACCTCACCATTTCAGTTTTCCCCTCTTTACAAAGAGCTCGGGATTCATCAATCTCCATTAAACTTCAAAATGAAATAGTCCACATAAGTCAGAGATGCAAAACCCACTGTATTAATTAGGACTTTTCTAATTGCAAGTAATAGGAAACCCAAATTCAAACTGCCTTGGGTAAGACATAATTTACTGATTCCTATAGCTAAAACCTGCAGAGGTCAGGATGATGTCAGGCATGACTGAATTCAGGAACTCAGGCAATGTCATTGGAACTTGATCTGTCTTTCCCTCCGTGGCTTGGCTCTACTTTTCCTCCCATTAGCTTCACTCTCAGTAGTTCCCTTTCACGTGGGGCTTCTGGCAGCTTCTCTTTCCAGCAGATCCACAAAATTCCCAGTCTTGTGAGATTTTCTTGGGATATGTGACGATCTCTCAATCAGCCCATTGACTAGGGCTGGGCGTGTTAATCAGGACTTTTCTAGTTGTGATAGGAAACTTAAATTCAAACTGCCTTAGGCTGAGTCACTTGTCTGTCCCTAAGAGCCAGTGGTAAATCAGCTCCATCCAGCATCCAATGTCTGCATAAAGGACCCAGTTTATGGCTTCTCCCTCTAGCCACTCCCAGAGGCAGTGACTACGTAGAGGGGCCTAGTAGGGAGTATGTGGCGGAAGGGAGGCCTTGAAGCTGTGTTCTTATAGCGTCCTATATGAAACTGAAAAGCATCAATAGCAAATAACAGAGAAGATCTAATGGAGATTATAGAGAGGTAGAGGGGACTAAAGGCCTCCCAAGTCACCCCTTGGTGCCACCCCTGTAACATATTTAATTTGTGGGGGAAGCAAAGGCCCAGTAGGACTGCTGGTGGCCCAGCCACAGTCCAAAACAGGCCCTAGAGAGGACGCGCTCTAACCACACACCCTAATTATTAGTCCCTGAATATAGATCAGTTTAGTTTATCCAAAGCCCCAGCTGAAGACACATCAAGTACTATTGCCTCTGTTCCATGTTTTGTTCCATATAAACATCCAGACACAGGTCTCATGGGAGAAACATCATGAGGCAGTTTCACAGTCCCTGGCTTTGATCTTTACGCTGTAGTAAAGGTGTCATTGGCCTTTCTGGGGCGAAGAGTCATGCTCTTCCACAAGAGTATCAAATTACTGCTCATTTTCCAATGTATATTCTTTCAGGGCCTTGCTTTCTTCTTACCTGCCCACACCAATGCTGTGAGGGAGACTGCTGATGGCGAAGGTGAAAATGGTCAGGCAATGTCATTGGGACTTGGTCTGTCTCTCCTTCCATTAGCCCACTTCTTTTATCCAGAAAGATTTCACTGCACTGGGGAAATAAGGAGAATAAAGTCTCATGCACTCACTCACATGAGAGAGACATGCATGTTCGGGTTTGCTCAATGGCACCCATCTGTCTCAAGTCTTGTTGTTTCTTTCACTCTGAGCATCTGCACTCCAAGAAGGCATGAACTTTTTCTTTCACTTCCTTTCTTCTATGGGTGATGACCTGACATCACTCTCAGAAGGAGGCCGAAAGTCGCTGAGTATAAAAATCGTCACTCCTATCTGGCTTAGGCAGAAGGTAGGGGGCTCGATGGGTACCCAGGAGCTCTGGAGGTAGGAGATGCCATCTAGGGAACCCCGTTCTACCTGAGGGCTCTGTGTCTCTGCCTTTGTATACTGGAGGGCACCATGGATGTCGCCTTCCCTCTGGAGTCCCCTTCACCATTTCCTCTCTAGAAGGATGGAAGGTGGGAGTGGGGTTGGCTATTGAAGCTGGAACGGGGAAGAAGGCCACTTGGGGTCTGCTGAGGGCTGGGTCTGCTCACTGCTGTGTCCGGAGTGGAAAGGAGAAGCCCGCTGGAGCAGGGTACAAGCCCAAGGGTCAAACTGCGCCAGCAGTAGAGCAAGCCGCGGTCTCAGGCTGCAGCCCTAGCAGAGGTCAGGCTGGTGCAGCCAGCCGTCTCGGGGCCTAAGGGCGCTGGCGGGGGCCGGTGGGTAGGGGTAGGAGTCCCCAAATGCCTTCATCTCAGCCCATCCTTCTCCACCGAAAAATAAAGCAGGCTGGCGAGATCGCCTCCTCACCCGCTCAGTCCTGAAGTGTCCAAGGATGAAACTGTGCGGAAATTCTCCCTGTCGCTCTCAGTTTGTGGGGGAAGCGCCGGGACTGAGGTACATGGTTAACACAGGCTGTGCGTGAAGGGGCTTTTGACTTTTCCCCCGGCTCCGGCCTCTCGCGTCTCTCTCCTAGGGCTGCGGCTGCTGCTGCCTGGCGGGCACAAGCCGGGCGGCGGTGCGCGGGGGGTGCGCTTACATAACCGCTCGCCGCGTCCTGCTTTCTCGAGCGCTCCTGCACCGTGGGGTGGCGGAGCCGGGGGACTGCATGGAACCCGGGACGCCCCCGCGGGGAGAGGAGCGCGAGCGGCCGCGGGAGGAGGGCGCCCAAGGCGGCGGGGGAGGTTAAGGTCAGTGGGTGTGAAGCGCCGGCTCCACACCCCCTCCTCCCCGGTCCCCTCCTTCCCTTCCTCTCCGTCCCCCTCTGACGTCTGGAGCTGGCAGCTCGGCCGGTTCCGCATTCCCGACCCCTCCCCGCCGCCCAGGGGCCGCTATATAGCCGGGGCTGATGCAACCCGTCCCGCCGCCCGCCACAGCCTGCGGGAGGGACGCTCGGCGGCCGCGACGGGGGGCGCTGGCGGCGGCGGACGCTGCAGCGGCGGCGGGGCTGGCGCCGCGGCGGCTCCCGGGCCGGGACAGGCCTGGGCACCGGGCGGAGCTCCGCGGCCGGGCGGCAGCGGCGCGGAGCGGGCACGGCGCCTGCAGCCGGGCCCCGGCCCCGGGGGCGCCGCCTCCCCCCGCACCTTCTGCACGGTGGGTGCGAGGGCGCGCGCTGGGGGCGCCGGGACGGGCGGGGCGGGGCAGGGCGCGGCGCGGGCACCTGGGACGGCCGCCCCCGCACGGGCGGAGCGCGAGGAGCCCCAGCCCAGCCCCGCGGGGAGGCTCCCGCAGCCCAGGGACCTCGAGCTTTCCCCGCGCCGGGCGCTGCAGCCGGGCCCCTCCCGCGAGGCGCCCGGCAGCCTGAGGCTTCCTTTTGGTTCCCGCCCCGGGACGGGAGGCTCCGTCCGCTCCCTGGACAGCCGGGGTGCTCCCTCCTTCTCCCTCCCGCGCTCTCCTCCCCCGTCCGTTTGCAGGGAGGTGCTCTCCTCGGGCGGCGGGGAAGGCGGGGTGAGTGGGGAGAAAAGTGCCCGCGGAGATGGGCTGTGCGGGTGGAGGTGGAGGGTGAAGGGCCAGGGAGGTGCGGGGTTGGGGTCGGGGTTAGATTGTGGAGGGATGACAAGGACCTCCTGGCAGTGAGGAAGCGCGACTCCCGGAGGACCCGGACCCGGAGGAGAGTATTGAGAAGGGCTCGGGATTTCCATCCAATGAAGGCAGCTTCTCTCATGGCCATTGCTTCGGAGCTCTGGGCTGGGAGGGGATCTAGGGGTGGCCGGGGTCCCCTTTGGGCTCTCCTGTCTCCCACGCCAGGTTATATAAGGAGGCAAGCAGGCTCCTGTAGGTAACCAGCCTCTCCCTTGCCCAGCCCAGCTTAGAAGGCTCTCCTCTGCTCCTCCCTTCAAAGGAGGTTGTCGAGGGGTAGGGGTGCAGTGGGGGGTGGGAGAGTGTAGGGGTGGATTGGGCCTTCCACCTGGATCCCTGGACCCTGGGATGGCAGAGCCAGGCTTTGCCTGGGTCAGTAGGAGGAGCAGGGAAGATGAGGAGGCTGGGGAAGATGGGGAGGTCCTGGCTCTTTTGCAGGGATGGAGAGGCTGGTGGAAGGAGAAATCAGCCGACCCCCTTGGGTCATCTCCAGTTGCAAGATGGCGTGGCCCTTGCCCAGGGTGCTGCCCTCCCTGTTGGAATCCAGGGCATGGGGCTATGGCCCGACCACGTGTGCTCAGGGCAAATGTGCTCAGGTCTATATCTCAGAAAGGGCTTGCAGCCTGCTTAGGCGTGTGTACCCAGGCTTAAATCTTGGTGGTCTCTCCCTAGGGTCTTAATTGGAGGAGCATCAGGAATTGGGAAGCTTTGAACCATGTTTGGGTACATTTGTACCCAAACGTCCTTTAAGCCCTTGGTAGAAACTGCATTCGCGTATCATCTCCCTTCCCCCCAACCTTCCTTCCCTGAGGGTTTTAAAAAACACTTCCCATTGCTTTTACCTTTCCAGCAAATCTGGCTGCAGCTTGGATGGATAGCTTATCTTCCTTTGCAGGTTTCTAGGGGAGAGTTTAACCAGGTATCAGGTGTGAGCATGGCTCTGATTTTGTATAAACCTGAGGATCGAGGAAGAGAAGCAAAATCTATTCTCACACCTCTGGGTGGTTAAGGTTTTGCCTTGTTTAGAGCAGGGAGGATGGATTTCTCAAAGACTCTTCTGTTCCCTTCTACTTTGGCTTTGGTTCAGAGCTGCAGGCAGCTCCAGAATCTTCCTGAAGAGCTGGGTGCTGTGTGATTTGAAGGGCTGCAGGAAGTCATGGGTGTGTAGACCTCTGGCTTTTCTCCTAGGTGGGCTGCAGGAAGTCATGGGTGTGTAGACCTCTGGCTTTTCTCCTAGGTTGGCTGCAGCCACCTCCAAGGAGATGTGTTGCAAAGTGGTGACAATGCCCCCTAGGAAGGGTTTGGATAAGGGTCTCCCCACTCATCCACTGCCTAACTTTTGCAGCTACCAGGGAATGCTCCTCCTGACTCCCTGGGTTTGTTGTCATCTCCCTACCTGTTTGTAGGATGTGTGGGCATTTTTTTCCAACCTGCAGAATCCCTGGCAGGAATAGGCTCTCTGGGCCTTGTTTGTCGTGGGGCTACTGGTGTTGCAATGGGCTGTCTCTCTCGAGTGTCTGTTTCCAGCTCCACTCTGGAAAGAAAGGGGCCAACGCCGACTCTAGGCCGGCCTGCTCTGTATTCATTCAGCTCCAGCTCAACTTGAGCAATCAGAGCCAGGGTTGAGGGCAAGCTACATTCTTTTCTGCCTTTCTGCTGCAGGATGCAGTTTGCTTTTTTTCCATGCGAATGAATTATGTTTGAAACCGAAATGGGAGGAAGAGAAAAATGGAGTGAGTGTATATGGGTATGTGTGTGTGCATACCTATATAGGCAGGGGAGGGCAGCAGGCACATTATTTTTCCATTTTCCTTTAATTAAGGCTCTGTGGAGGTGTGTTTGAAAACAGAGGGTCTCCTATGCCTTTGAGGAGGGTGAGAACACTGTTTTGGCTGCGTCCCGGGCCATATGCAGCGTATGGTGGCCAATGAAACCGGGCCTGGCTCATTCTGTTGCTTGTCTTGGCAGTCGGTTCCGTGGCTTGTATTACCAGCTCTGGAACTTAGGGGCTGCCAAGCTCCATGTGCCTGTGTATGTGTGTGTGCGTGTGCATGTGTGTGCACATGCGTTCTTGTGTGTGTGTGTGGTTTGGCCTCTCGGAACTCAGCAGAGACAAATGCCTTAGCGACCCAGTCTTGGAATTTTCAGACTGTGTTTCTTTACTTATTGCTGGCTGTGGGAGGCCTGGCCAGAGCCCACCATTCTTAGTTGTTGTTGTTTTTTAGTCTGTTTTCTTGCTGCAGCCCACGGGATTTAGTTGCAGAGCTCCATTTGCAAAGCTTCAGCTGGCCAGTGGCATTTTTTAAAAAAAAGACCAGGGCGATTATCACACCTTGTGTGTGTGTCTGTATTAGGTGTGGTAGTGTTAACCCCTGCCAGCCACCAAGGACCAGAGCTGGCGTGAAGTAGAAGGGAAAATAGAAAGCTTGTCCAATGGTTGTACGCTCCCAGCTTCCTCTTGCTGCCTGGGTTAAAGATTCCTGGCAGAGATAACTTCATATGTATTTATTGAGCGCCTACATTAGGCAGAGGACAAAGCGATGTTATAGGCAAGGCCTTGGAAGCATTTCTCTGGTCTCCAGGGAAGAGCAGGAGTTCCCTGGGGGTTGGTTCCAGGTTCTTCTATGGCTGGGATGGCTGTGCAGGGATCACGGCTGCCAGTGTTCAGTGGCTTCTCTTGAACCCAGCTACCGCTCCTTGTCTTCTTATGAAGCAGTGCAGGGATGGAGTAGAGGGCACAGGAGATGCTGGCTGTCTGCCTTGGGGCAGAAATGGAAACCTAGTTCTTGATGGCACCTTGTTGCCAGTGTCTGTGCAGCTGTGTTCTGGCCTGCAGGGTGGAGGAGACCTTAGAGGAAACCGAGGCCGAGGGCAGGTGCTGGGCCCCATTTCTGCACCTTCTACCCAGCCCTGACCTGGCACCCTTTGTTTCTGTTCTGCAGTCAACTGCCAGGATGCAAGATGGTCCTGCCCCCTTGGGGTTTAGAGCTGGAAAGTGGGAGAGCGGAGAATCCTCTGGGGAGAATCCTCTTCATGGCTGCAGGAAACAGAGACTAGTCCAGAAGGGACCTTGAGGGGTCATCTGGCACTAGTGCCCCTCCAGGAAGGAAGGCCCTGGTGGCCACACTGACTTCACTCTTACTATGTGCAGGCACTGTTCCAGGTACTTTCCAAGTATTAACTAATTTAATCCTCTTGACAGCCATACAGGGCAAATAACATTGTTATTCTTTACAGCTGAGGAAAGAGAGGCACAGAGAGGTTAGGGAACTTGCCCAAGGGCACACAGCTAGTAAGAAGGGACAGAGCTAGGATTCACACTCAGGTGATCTGGCTCCAAAACCGCCACTCTTAACCCCCCCTTCCTCTTGGCCTGCAGAGCTGGGGACAGCCATCTGAAGAGGGCCTTTTGCTGCTCGCCTTCACTCTCAGTCTTGGGGCCTTCCCCATCATCTTGCTTCTCGCCTTCTGGATCTCCTCGACTTTTGGAAGCCGCGTGACCTACGTCATTCAGATTCCAAGAGAGAGGTCATCCTGGGTGATTCCTTAGCTCCAAGAAGAGGCTTGGTGGTTGATTCTCCAAGATTCATGGTAGCAGGTACTATGCGCCATGACCCCTGGCCTGGCACCTTTCTGACCTTCTCTGTGGACTCCTGCCCTCCGCATCCGGTTCTGTCCTGGGAATCTTCCCAGGCTCTGGCTCCCAAGGTCCCCCACTTCTCTTGTTGAGTCTCAGTCGCCATTGCCCATGCCCTGCCGTCGACTTCCAACCCCTTATTTCTCATGGGGCTTGCCCCTGTAAACTCCCTCCCTCCTTGGCTTGTCACTCTCACCTCCGCATTCTCCCAGCACCAAACCTTGAACCTTAGACCGCACCCACGTGCACACCCATTCCTATTCCTCGTGGCAGCCCAAGCCAGCTGCTGGCCCGGAGGGGAGCTTACCTTCTCAAAGAGGCCCAGGAGTTTTATAGCCTCCTTGAAACCTTTGTTTCTATGGACAGAAAGTTCATGATGCAGATGCTAAGTTTCTCTTAACCTGTTTCTTTTTATTTACCTTTGCCATTCTGGATGAAAATGCTGATCGTTGGGCACTTTCTAGCAAGAACGGCCCTTGTACCTTTGACCCATAAAACAAGACTGTTATCATTTATAGACACTTCCATTAAAAAAAGATTTAAGGACCGGGCACGGTGGCTCACGCCCGTAATCCCAGCACTTTGGGAGGCTGAGGCGGGTGGATCACCTGAGGTTGGGAGTTCGAGACCAGCCTGACCAACATGGAGAAACCCCGTCTCTACTAAAAAATTAGCCAGGCATGGTGGCGCATGCCTGTAATCCCAGCTACTCAAGAAGCTGAGGCAGGAGAATCACTTGAACCCGGGAGGCGGAGGTTGCGGTGAGCTGAGATTGCACCACCGCACTCCAGCCTGGGCAACAAGAGTGAAACTCCGTCTCAAAAAAAAAAAAAAAAAAAAAAAAAAAAATGTAAGGGGTTAGGTTGGTGCAAAAGTAATCGCGGGTTTTGCCATTATGCTCAATGGCAAAAACCGTGATTACTTTTGCACCAACCTAATATTTTACAGATTTACACACAAAAAATGAGAGAGGAAAACCAGAGGAAAAAGCTTAATAAGTTACCTTTAGCTTTTCTTTTCTCTGAAATGACACTTCATGTTAGTATCTCCCAGGAGGGTCTATTTTCTAGACTTGACATGTTTTGTGGCTTTTCTTCTGCTTGTACAATGCAGTGTCCTAACTGTGTGCCCACAGGTCACTGAGGAAGAGTAGGGAGTACAGCTCTCAGACCTTTTTTTTTTTTTTTTTCAAGTTCTTTCCTCTTGGATCCATCTGGTCCCCATTTTCTTCAAGTTGGCTTTCAGGGAGCTGCATCATAATCTTAGGATCAACAACAGCTTAGGGTCCACGGTGACCTTCTGAACCTCGTCTGTCTGATTCATGCCTTGCTAGTCAGTCGCCATCTTGGATGTGTGCTTCACCCAGCTTTCCTTCATTGGCTGGCTTCCAACTTATTCCTGGTCAGTGTCCCGCATTGCCAGTCTTCTTGGATTCCAGGCCTATATTTTGAGGCATAAGCCCCTTTTCCCAATGTTGGTGTTCTGCCAATGGATAGAACTTAATCCTTATTTATGCCCCCTAGTTACTCATGGAGACACTGAGGATGTTTATCTGCCTTTCAGACCTCCTGGGCCCTGAAGGGAAAAAACTCTGGGTTCTTCTGAAGCTTTTAGTGCGTAGTTCTTCTTTTCCTACTAAATTGTTTCCGTATGGAACAACCAGTGTGGGAGATGATTTCACCTCTTGTCATCTTTCCTAAGTCTTCCTTGAAGTGGGTAAGTTCCTTCTGGCTGTTACTGGTTCCTTGGTGCTGCCACCTCCACTGCCCCCCACTCCCCCTTTTTTATAGATCCCTAAATCACATCAAATTGTTTTATTTTTCAAATCACTAAAGTTGCCTTTCTGCCTTAGATCGTCAGCCAGCTCTTTGCAGTTAATGAGGATCCAATTATGAAAGGCAGCTGCTCAGCTCCTCCATCTTCTATCCCCCACCCCCAGAAATGTTTAGGATGACTTCTGGCTGGTGAATATCAGCTGTTGTGGTTGTCTCCTAGGAATGGCATGGCTGAGGGCTTTGTGGTTTATATCTGAGCAGTTAGGGGCTCTTTTGCAGGGGGAGGAAAGACAGGGGGACTTTTGCTTCTACAAAGGAAAGACTAGTGCCTTGTCTCCTGGGTGAGGCTTGTCATTGGGATGGATTCACAGGCGAGCAGAAATGGCAAAATTTATGGGGCCCGTGCTCCCAGGGGGTGGCCGCTCCTTCAGGGGGTTCCACAGTAGCAGAAAATGCATTATATTTTGGGATCATTTGTTAGTGTCTCATTTCTACCATCTGTATGAGAATAAACAGAAGCTGCAAACAGAGCCTATCATTCCCGGAACAGAATGGGGTCTGGCTTCCATCTCCCAGAGATGGAAGGCTTAGGCAGGGAAATACACAGAAGCCTCTGGAGTGTTTTTCTTGGGGTCTACTGTGGGAATGAATAACTTGGAGGTGAAATTACAGCCTGATAACGAGCATCTAAGCTTCCAGAGATGGATTCTTACACCATTTGCTGAATTTTGCTCTGCTGTGAATTTGCTGTCATTTGTTCATTCATTTATTCACTTAGTTATTATTTCAACAAGTATTATTGATGATGCTTTCTGCGCCAGAAATGATGCTAAGCACTGGGGTCACCCGGGCAACAACCAGCCCTGACTGCTGCTTACCACCTGGAATCACAGCGCTGCTGGCCGCGTGGCCACATGGTTTGTTCCCGGCACAGTTTTGCTACAAGGAATAGGTCTTCCTGCTGGCCCCTTCCCTGTTCTCCTTAGAGGAGGCCAGGGGAGACGTGCAGCTCATCTACAGGGCCCTGGAGCGGCCTCCTAGCGTGGCAGGCTGCAGCCCTCTCTGCATTGCAGGTTCCATTCCAGAGGGCTGAGAGGGAGCTCTCTTACTGCCACTAGGCTCCAGTCCAGCTCAGAGTTTGGGGGATCAGAGAACATTGAACACCCACATGCGAGAGGTCTCAGGGGCTATTTCTGTGTCTGGGCTCCCATGCAGGCTACCGTGGAGTTATTCAGGGAACTTCCTAAACCTGGATCTCCATGGGGGGTGGAGGGTCCTCTGTGCAAGACAATGACCCTCTACTGTGGGCTGGTGTCTGAAAGCCCACCGTGAGAAAGTCATTCCTTCTGCTGAAGGCGTCGTTACCTATTGGACCCCAGAAAGGGAAACAAAGAAGGAAGGGTGAGAAAGCTTTGGTCTAGAACCCTGGGACCAGGAGTCGAGCCCTGGCTCCAATCCTCTCCAGCTGTGTGACCTTGGGGAGGCCATTTAGCCTCTCTGAGCTTTAGTTTCCTCCTGTCAAAATGAGGATGTGGTTTAGATGAGCACAGGGCCTCCTTCAGCTCTAAAACTGTAACTCAATGTGATTGAGCCTCAGATCTTTTTCTGATGGCCCAGGGGACACGGGGTGAAGGAAGGAGAGAAAGGATGTGAGTGGGAAGGAGTGCTAAGAGGACCGGGTATGGGAGGCACAGTAGGTAGAGCACAGTTAGAGGAGCCTGAGGACACCAAATAAAAACTCTGGGGCAAGCCAGGGAGCTATGGGCAGAGGCTTTATGACAGATGCAGCAGGCATGCTGAGGATGAAATGGCGGGTCCACTTCCCATTCCCAGGCACCTCGCTTTAGACACCTTGCTTTAGACAAAGTGATGGCCAGTGGAAACCTTTGTGCTTGAGGGTGCAAGTTACTCACATGCTTTTTCTCTTAGAGAAATAGAACTTATTGGGAAATAGACTCTGGACTTGGACAGGGAACCAAATTTCACCTTCAAAAGTGAAATGTAGATGGAGAATATGGCTTGCACTCTTGGCCAAAACAGGTTCACAAATGCCCCTCTCTGGAATGATCTAGACCTGGGAAGCTGAATGGGGGCAGGTGGTTGTGGGTCACCCTCCAAGGCCACTCCTGCAGGAGACAGAGAGCCCAAGAACCATGTGGCCATCTGAGTACATTAACTGCCCAACGGAGAAGTATTGTCCGATGGACATCAGATCTTCCCTCTTCTGCCAAATACATCTCTCTCCATGGGAAGAGACAGGTAAAGATGGAAGGATAGGCCAAAGATTTTCCCTCAGGAGTGCTAAGCCAGCGAATATTTTGATTTTATGGCCCTGGGCAGAAAGGTGAAAAGAGGGAGAAATGATTTCCTTTCCAGGACTAGAATCTAAGAGCAGTTTTGTACTAACATGCTACTTAAAAGGCTGCTTCAAAGCTAAGACTGCACATCTGACCTCCATATTCCTAGTGCCTGCTGGCCTATAGTAGGTGGTCAGTAACTGGATGGATGGGTAGGTAGGAGGAGCCCTTTAAGGGACTGGCTTTATTGGCAGACCAGCTTTCTTCACTGCCATCTGTGCCTTGAAATGACCATTTCTTACCCATGAGCTTCCCCCAGTAAAGGGAAGGAAGAATTCCCTTGGTGTTGACCTGTCTAATTTACATCCTTCTTCCATGTCTGAATCTGTCTTCCCTTGTACACCTTTTTGGTTGGGCAGAGCTGGAATATGTGTTTGCTCTGAGAATGAAGAGAACATGGAGGTAGCCGGGCGCAGTGGCTCACGCCTATAATCCCAGCACTTTGGGAGGCCAAGGTGGGCAGATCATTTGAAGCCAGGAGTTCAACACCAGCCTGGCTAACATGATGAACTCCTGTATCTACTAAAAATACAAAAATTAGCTGGGCGTGGTGGCAGGTGCCTGTAATTCCAGCTACTCGTGAGGCTGAGACAGGAGAATTGCTTGAACCCAGGAGGCGGAGGTTGCAGTGAGCTGAGATCGTGCCACTGCACTCCAGCCTGGGCAAAAAAAAAAAAAAAAAAAAGCATGGAGGAGTTTTCTGGTACTGGGTTCCACAGGGAAAGCACATGCTAATTAATTCCACCTGCTTTGCCTCAGTCCCTTCCTCATAGATAGCACACACACTCACCTTTAACTTAGATTTGCTTCATCTCCTACTCAGGGTGTCTTAACAAATATGCAGAATAGGATGTGTGATTGGAGGGGAGGCACCATGCCAGACCAAAAATAGCTTCCTCTGAAACAGGTGTGAAGGTGCTTGAGGTTCTGCCGTTATAATTCGCTCTCTTCAGAGACTGTATGCTGCCATTGAAATCCCAGCTCCACCAATTTTAACTGTGTACAACCTTAAGCGAATTATCATTCTAAGCTTGGCTACTTCCTCTGTGTAATGACCTCTGATCCAGCCTAATGGGACTGCAGGATTACCATGGGGCCTGGCACATACCAAAGGCTGAATACATGTTGCCTATGATTGGGTCAAGCATTGCCTTCAAAATAAAAAAGGCAGACACTTCTGGCAGTGCCAAGGGTGACCTTGGTGTGAGTTAATTGAGCAACTTTTCCTCTATAACAGGAAGGACTTTACGGCAGGAAGAGCAGCTGGGTGGGAAAGGGATTCAGGGGAACATTGGTGAAAGAAGCCACAGTCCTGGCAAGACGAGGGACTTGAGCCCTCCTGGAGCCCCCAACCTGGCTGACTGTCCTGCTCTTTTCCTGCCCACTCCAGGCTGGCCTGCCACTCCTCCTGCTATGATGCCTGGGCAGATCCCGGACCCTTCGGTGACCACAGGCTCCCTGCCAGGGCTTGGCCCCCTGACCGGGCTCCCCAGCTCGGCCCTGACTGTGGAGGAGCTGAAATACGCTGACATCCGCAACCTCGGGGCCATGATTGCACCCTTGCACTTCCTGGAGGTGAAACTGGGCAAGAGGCCCCAGCCCGTGAAAAGTGAGGTGAGCGAGCCTTTTACCCCTGGCAGATTCCAGGTCTGGCCTTAAACCCACCATGGGACCTTAACCTTGCTGTTCAAAGTGTGGTCTGAGGACCAGTATCATCCGTACCACCCTGGGGTTATCAGAAATGTGGAATCCCAGGCCTCGCCCCAGGCCTTCTGTATCAGAATCTGCATCTTAACAAGATCCCCCAGGGATTCGTGGACGTATTAACACTTGAGAAGCACTGGGCCAGGGGAGGATGTTTAACCTGTCTCTGGTTCTCTGGGGGGCGGTGGAAGAGTGATAATAATGACAGTAATGAATAGTAATATCTTGGCCATCTCTCTGGGGTGGTGGGAGGATTGGGGAGATAATGGGAATGGGAATGTGTACATGTTTTGAAAAGTAGACAAGAGAATGCCAATATTAGGTTATCTTTTAAAATTGTTATCATTAGTCACATCGTGACCTCCACCCCTCTTGGCCCTTTCTGCAGCTGAACCAGGGAACTTGGAGGAAGAGTAGCGTGGCCTCCCTTCCCAAGCAGCTGCCAGAGCTAGGCATGGCCTCGGTCAGCCAGCAGTGTCCGCCTTAGATGGCGTTTGCCCGGGACCCACACGTGGAGCACCCACATGTGGCATTTGCAAGGAATTCCTCCTCAGGTCCCTTGCACCTGCAGCTCTCATGAGCCCTTTTTCTCGGGGCACTGGTGAGCAGCAGCAGTCCCCGGCATGGCTGAGGATCTGTGCAGGGCATGCCCCCGGCGACTTGCCCAGGGCTGGCCGTTTCTCTGAAGGCCTGTCCCAGCAAGGTTCCCAGCAGCGCCGTTTCTTCAGAGGCCTGCCAGAGTAGCTGCCCCCTGGAAAGGAGGAGCCTGTGGTGGGAGGTGGGGAAGAGGCTGGGATCGGGAGGGCGCAGGAAGCAGCTGAGCATCTGGGAATGGTAGCTCTGCTTGGAGGGAGAGTTCACAGGCAAAGATGAGCCTGGGGGGAGCTCGGAGGGCTGAAGTGCTGGAAGTGCTGGAGAGAGGACTTTCTTCGTGGAGAAGGGTGTCTGGGTACCCGTAGGGGAGAGCTGGGGATATTAGGCAACTATCTCTCAGCTCCCCTTCTCCTGATAGGTACCTAAAAACTGCAGAGGACTGCTGGGGGCTTGGCTGTGGTGGCAAACTGGCCGTGGTGGCAAACTGGCCATTTGCAGGCTGGACCTGGCTCTCAGATGTATTTTGTTTGGCCGGCTCAGTGTTTTAAAAGAAACGCGAACCCCCATTTCATTTGAAAATTTTGATTAAAAAATTGTAAGATCTCATCATACACTACCCTGTTCTGGCATGGTAATGGCTAAGTGGGGTGGACAGAGGCACTTCACTGTTTCCTCTTTCCAGTGGGCCACAGGCCCCTGCACCTCCCTGTTATTCGTGATCCTACTTACATTGTTGGTTTTGCTTTTGCTACTACCATCTGCCTTCATTTACCTCTACTGCCTGGTCCCTGTTAGCCATTTGTGCTCAAGACACGTGGATAAGGTCCATCATAGGTGCCTACTAAAGACTGTGGATTACAAGCTGTGAGTTGATGGTGATTACATTCTTCTGAATTGATCTTGTAAGCCAATGTGTCGTTGGGGCACATCCCGGCTTATATAGTGTTCTGTCTTCACGATGGAGGGTCCTTGTCTTTTGGCCCTCTGCTCCTCACCTTCCCAGGTCTGTAACTTGAGAGCATCTGTTTCTGGATCATTCCACAGTAAAATTGCCATTTAGAGCCAGTAGCTGAGCAGTTTCATGGGGGCACTAAGGCTGCGCATGGGGTTGATGAAGAGCCAGGTGTCTTGGGCAGAGGTCGTCAAGCTGGGATTCGCCTGGGGGGCTGAGTTAACACCTCTCTCCTCTGCAAAAGGCACTGGAGGAACTCTTCCCTTTTTTTATTTTTTATTTTTGGAAAAGCCACTTTTATTTGGGTTGGGTATTTTTACATTTTACAGCCACCCCCAAATTGGTGGCATCTGCCCTGTACCCGACAGTGACGTGCTGTCCTCACAGGCACCCACAGACGTGCACCATCCAGGCCGCAAAAATAACAAGCCGTTTTTAGGGCATATTTGCATGTCCTCTCCCTCGCTGTCAGACTGCAGTGTTGTGGGGGCGAAGAGGCAGATGGAGCTGCGAGATTGTACCGATGTAGAGAGATGCCAGCCCTGCACTGCGAACCGACCTCCAAATGCTTCCTAGGTCAGACCCCAGGGGCGGGAAGAGCTAATTCTTGGAGTAACTAAAACCTAAAGCGGGGTGGGGAAAGAAACTTGCAGCTGAAGAATCTATGGTCTGAAGATCTATTTGCATATGGCAAACTGCCTTGAGCGGATTTTCATATTGGCATTTTAGACTAGTAAAAGTTTCTTTAATAATAATCAGATACTAGCTCATTAAGCATTTAATATGTCCCAGGACCTGCACAAAGTGCTTAACATGCATGACTTCATTCATTCCTTATTCAGTCCTGGAGTCCAGGTTACCCCCATAGTAGAGAAGAGTTTGAGGTCTAGGGAGGGGGTTCAGTCACTCAGGGTCACACTGCTGGGAAGTGATAGCGCTGGGGCCTGGTGTGGTGGACGATGGCTGCCGTTACAGCCGGGTCTCACTTGTGCTGAGCTAAGCCCTAGGCACGGTACTAGGTCTCTTTGTGAAGTACCTTGTTTACCCTGCACAAGTACCCTCTGAAGTAACTAGTGTTGTTGCTGTTGTTATACCCACATTACAGATGAGGTCAACAAGGCTGAGGGAGGTCCAAGGTCACTGGCTGGGAAATGAGCTCAGGCAGTCTGCCTTGAGCCCAAGCTTTAACCACATGCCGTGTGGCCTCCCATGCCTCTATACCCCTTCCAGGCTTCTAACCAGAGCTCTGTTGAGCTGGGGAGGCTGGATGAACCTGGCCGCAGAATGTTCGATCATTTTGATGACATTGTCTGATGAGTGCTGAGCCCTGCAGTCCTGCAGCCTTACTGTCTCCTAGTTCCGAGAGAGAGAGAGAGGGAGAGAGAGAGAGAGAGCGAGAGAGCGAGCCGGCTGAGCCGCTGTGCGGGCAGCTCTGTCAGAGCTGGTTCTTGGGTTGTTTGCCTTGCAGAGGCCAGCAGTCTCCTGGGCTCTGTCCAAACGCATGGAGCAATTCAGTAAAAGAAAATGGGAGGAATTAAGTTCAACGACAGGTTTTGTGAATTATAAAGTGCTTTGTGCTGATGTCATTATTATTACATGGTCAACACATGACGTTAAACTGTTTTGGTGCCAACTGCTTGCCTGCAGTCCCTTTGTTCAAGCCATATTTGTTAAGCATCTACTATGTGCTGAGCACTGCACCAGGCACTGGGAACAGAGCTACAGATAAAGCAGTCAAAGCCTTACATCTCTCGGCACCGTATATTGCAGTGACGGCATCCAAAAGTAAGCAAATTAATACACGATATATAAGGTGAGTTAGTGGTCAGCACCACGAAGAAAAATTAAGCAGACCAAGGACGTGGCAGTGGTAGGACTGCTCATTCTGATGGTTGGCCAGGGACCCTGGGAACGTCATTTCCTGGGTTGTGGGATTTTTAAAGCTGTTGCTTCTTTCTCCTTTCTTTTCTAGTATTCGCTTTCAGGACAGCTTTGCTCTCTGGCTTTCTCCAGAGCTTTCCTTCCTTGACTTTTCCTCTGTAGCCCCTCACAGCTGGACTCCTCCACCAACCAGTCCCTATTGGCCTGAAGATCTTGGCCCTTCCCAGGTCATCTCCCAGCGAGCTGTGGCTGTGGTGGTCACACCCTGCCTCTGGGTCTGGAATGCATTTTCAGTTGGGAGGGGAGGGAGGCCTGAAGCCCCACCCTTGCACACACACATAGACACACCAGACACTTACTAATCAACCTGCTAGACAGGACCCCTCACCCTCTCGCCACGTCTCGGTGCTCTAGAGGGGACTCAAGAGTTCAAGGGAGGCTAAACTGGATGACCTTTCAGGAAAGAGGCTGCACACTGTCGTTAAGGGGCAGGAGTCGGCCTACAGATGAATCTTGTTCACAGGGTGGTTTGCTTTTTCTTTCTTTTTTAACAAAATCACAGTGTGGTTTTCTTTTTCTTTTTTAAAAAATTGAATGAATTGCCATATTTAAAAGCCGGGAAATGTGGACTCTCTGGCTTCTTTTAAAAAACCAGAATATCTACCCACTTAAGGCCACACCCTTATACACAACAAGAGGTTGGAGCTGAGGGGCAGATGCCTGCTGTATTTGTATACAGCCTTGAGTTCACCGCATTCCCCACTACTCACTGATGTCTTACCCCCAGCCCGCTTCATACCATCTGTGTTGCCAGCCTGATTTTGAGTCTGTGTCCCATGTTTATGTCCCACAGACCTTGCTTGTTTGTTTGAACATTATGAGCTGTGTCAACTTGGCAAGTCACTTAAACTTTATTCCTTGATCGCTCTACCTCCCAATTCTTATCTCCAGCCATTGTTCATTAGGTTTTGCTATTTCCAAATTTCGTTGACTTCAGGCAGAAAAAAACAAAATACAACAAAAATCAAACCAATCATTCCCAAACGTGGCTGGTCATCAAAACACCTTGGGAAACTTCTTAAAAAGTATAAATTTCTAGACCTCACCCAAGGTCCATGGAATCAGAATATCTGAGGGTAGAGTCCTGGGAAGCTGTATAGCTAGTAGGCTCAGAGATGACTCAGCTACTTTTGGGAATGTGACTCTTTGCGGTTTCTTCCTCTCCTCAGGCTCTTCTGATCCTTGTCAGGGAGCTTTCTGGGGGTGTCACCCCGAGGAATCGGTGCATACGTATCATTGTGGACTGCCCTTTCCAACGTAGGGCAGTTTCCTGTGTGTATTCCACATGGGGACCGGATCCGTGTCCTCATCATTTTCAGAGCTGGAGAGGAGACTTAACTGTCTGTGGATTTCACATTGGCGATTTCCCATCTTCTCCAGGGTCCCTGGAGAACATTGAGAGGGTTTTCCCGTTTTGGATGAAGTGTGAATAGGAATCCATGGACCAGAGAGCGGCCTTGGAAGCCATGTTCACTCAGCCCCAGGTGGTCTTCCCAGACTTTGTTCATAACAGAGACCAAGACGTGCATCCATGTTTAGCCTGAGCAGAAAAAGTTGCCCCAAACCAGCTGATGTGCTGGGTAAATGTTGGCCTAAGCATGCTTGTGTTTTTAGTGATTTGAAACGTAAAGGCAGCCCACTGACATTTTTTAGCAAGCTTTGCATAATTGGTTTTTAATTGTGGCTCTTTGGAATAGCATTGGCCTTCTTCCCCCTGACTCAGATGCTTTTTTTGTCTCATACTTGTTTGGCAGAGAGGTCCAATCTGTCCTCTCTTGGAACAGAATCTCCCAACTCATCTTTGAAATCCGTAATTTCCACTTTAGTTCCGTTACTTTGTTAGCACATTTTCGAAAGCTGTTAGCTTAAAAAAAAAAATTAAATTTGAGGGAGAATGAGTGATAGTTAAAGGCAGCTATGAGTGTGTTTAACATTGGCCCCTGTGGTGTTGAGTCTTATTTGATACCATATCCAGAGCATTCACAAGGGTTCTGAAGCTTTTATTTAAAATCAGAAGTCGGTCACACCCACTGTTATCCTAGCACAGGGTCCCTTGGAGAGGTGGTGGTGAGGACGTGGCTGGATCTCTATGTCCTTAGCAGAAATCAGACACCTCTGAAAAGCTCAGGAAGTCTTACAGCTTCTTAGGTTTTCTATTAATATCTTAAAGTGAGGATAATAATAATACCTACCTCTTAGTGTTGTTATGAATTTTTTTTTTTGAGACAGATTCTCACTCTGTTGCCCAGGCTGGAGTGCAATGGCATGATCTTGGCTCACTGCAGCCTTGACCTCTTGAGCTCAAGAAATCCTCTCACCTCAGCCTCCTGAGTAGCTGGGACTACAGGCACATGTCACCATGCCTGGCTAATTTTTGTATTTTTTGTAGAGATGGGGGTTTTGCCATGTTGCCCAGGCTGTTTTTGGACTCCTGGGCTCAAGCGATCCTCCCATCTTGGCCTCCCAAAGTGCTGGGATTACAGGCGTGAGCCACCAACCCCTGTTGCTGCTATGATAATGAAATGAACTAATGCTGCTAAAGGTTTCACATGATGCCTGGCACTTAGTAAGACACAGATATAAGGTAGGCTTGTGACTCACTTTTCAAATGTGTTGATCGTGCAAAGTAGTTTTTATAATTGAATCAAAAACCTGTTTCTTGGGCTTGTATTGACCTGAGGGTATTTTGTCCTCGGAGATGGTGGGTGGTCTGAGGCGTTGCAGGAGCAGGGCACATCCAGGCTTCCTAACCAGAGGGGCTACTTCTGGGGCCTGGGAAGAGTTCTGGGCTTGGGTGCAAGTTCTGGGTTCAAAGTCTGGCTCTCTCGCTCATTCCCAGCACAACCTTGGGAAAGTTAGCTCGTTTCCTCATCTGTAACAGGAGAAAATCCAAACTGCCCTTTCCAAAGTAGTACAGTTTCCTGCACATACTGCACATGGTGACTGGATCCACATCCTCATCACAGAGCTTCATCGCGAAGATTAAGTGAGGTGCTGTGTGAAAGATGACCTTGACTGCAGTGCAGTATGTCCGTAAATTACCTTTGTTAGAGACTGATTCCATGTGTAGTGAACTACCTATTCTGACAGCACTAACCTTTCTGAAGTATTAGCCTATGACCTGGGTTTCAGGGAAGCAAGCAGACTTTCCAGTTTCTGGTTGTTTATGCAGTTTAGACGCAGCTGGAGTTTTAATTATCATAACAAACTATAAATGAGAAGGCTTTTCAAGCCTCTGTTTTCCCCTAAGCTGCCTTCTGTGACCCCTTATCTTGTTTCCTGTGGTGTTAATGTCATCGTTGTATTCCCATCAACCAACAATCTTTTAGCAGCCTTAAGAAGGGCTGTCAAGTCTTCTGTCAATCCTACCATCTTACTTTGATGTTTCCAGGTCCACCGGCAACATGGACTCAGAGTTGGGAAACTGAGTCCTCTCCTGGGTGAGGCTCATCTGGCTGAACAACTATGAAGCCATTTAAGTCTGTTTTCCTTCTACTGTGCCCAAAAGGCACAAGGCAACCTGGCCTGAGGTTGGAGCATGGAGATCTAGAGGAACTCATGGATGGATTCAGGCGGGATGTGAAAGTGCTGGGAGTGAGGGCCTGGGCCTCCTCTGGGTTTAGCCACCCTTCCAGGTTGTGTACAACCTGCCATATGCTGGGGCTCATTGACTGTGCTCTGCTCTGTGGCTACAGGATCCCCTTTTACTGAGCGTAGTGCATGTGTATGCTCTGACAAACTCCTCCGTGGTTTGCCTCTGTAGTCCTCCCTACACCCTACCAACTCCCCAGTCCCCGCGAATAAAAACCCTTGCCTTTTTGGAGGCAATGTAGCAAAGCAGGACTGCTGCATTGGAATAGTTTGGCTCTGGAGAGTTCACTAGATGTTTGAAATTCAGTTTCGTCCCTTGTAAAAATAGGGGAAATAGACCCCTACCTAGTACCTAGTACCATATACATATATTATCTCAAAATGGATCGAAGGCCTAAATGTAAGAGTGAAAACTAGAAAACTCTTAGAAGAAAACAGCTGTAAATCTTTGTGACCTTGGATTAGGTAGTGGTTTCTTAGATTTTATGCCAAAAATAAAAGCAACAAAATAAAAAAAATAAATTGGACATCTTCAAAATTAAAAACTTTGGTACTTCAAAGGACACAAAGTAAAAAGAAAATCCACAGAATGAGAGAAAATGTTTGCAAATCGTAGATCCAATAAGGGACTTGTATCTAGAATATATAAAGAATGATTACAGCTCAATAATAAGACAAATAACCCAGTAGAAAAATGGGCAAAAGATCTCAATATTAATTTCTCCAAAGAAAATATATAAATGGCAACTAAGCACATGAAAAAATGCTCAACATCATAGCCATCAAGGAAATACAAGTCAAAAACCACAATGAGATACTACTTTGCACCCACTAGGATGACTATAGTGAAAAAAAAGAGATAATAACAAGTATTGGTGAGCATGTGGAGAAGCTGTCGTCATGAATTGATCGTGGGAATGTAAAATGATGCAGCCACTTTGGAAAACAGTCTGGCAGTTCCTCAAATGGCTAAACAGAGTTCCCATGCGATCCAGCCATTTCACTCCTACATATATTTCCTTTCCCAACAGAAAGGAAAACATGTCCACACAAAAACATACATGAGAGTTTACAGTGGCATTATTCATAATAGCTCCAAAGTGGAAGCAGCTCAAATGTCCATGAATTGGTGCATGAATAAATAAAACATGGTCTATCCATACAATGGATTATTATTTAGCCATAAAAAGGAATGAAGAACTGATACATGCTGTAATATGGATGAACCTTGGAAACATTATGCTGGGTAAAAGAAGCCAGCCACAAGAGACCACAGAGTGTGTGGGTCCATTTAGATGAAATGTCCAGAATAGGCAAATTCATAGAGACAGGAAGTAGAGCCAGTACTGTGGTTACCTAGGGGTGGGGAGATGGGAGGAGTGGGGAGTGATGGCCAAGGGATATGAGGTTTCTTTTGGGGGTGATGAAAGTGTTCTAAAATTGTAGTGATAGTTGCACAACTCTGGATATAATACAAGTTGGTGAATTGTATACTTTAATGGACAAATTGTATGGTATGTGTGAGTTTGATCTCAATAAAGTGCTTTTAAAAATGGAGAATAATAATATCTGCCTTACAGGGTTGTGGGGAGGCTGAAAAGGAATAATGTATACAAATCCCCCAGTATGTAACAATGTTCCAGAATTAGTAGCTAGGGTTATTAAAACCCCCTTTTAGACCAGCGGCAGTGAAGAAGCCTTTTTTCCTTTTTATTGCTAGTATCTATCCAGGAGCAAGGAGAACAATCTGATAGGATTTAATATAGAACTAGGGAGGATATATGGTATAGAATAGCAGTTTCTAACTCTGACTACTGATTAGAATTCCCCGGAAAGTCTTTCAAAAATATTGATCCTGATTCAGCTGGTCTGAGTGGGGCTGGCAGGTGTTCTAACCTGTAGCCATTAGCTGAAAACCTGGTAATCCAGTTAAGAAACCAGCCCAGTTCTTTGAAGGAGCGAGGACATCTGTGTTCAGGTCAGAAGTCATACACAAGCAATGCACTTTATAGTTTGCAAACTTCTTTTGTAGACGTCATCTCTGATCTGTTCCAACAACCCTATGAGGTGGTGTTAGTAGTATGAGTTGTTAGAGAGCTGACGCTCAGAAGATTAAGTCACTTGCCAGGGTCTCATTTTTTAAAGCATAATTTTATCTATTATTAAAAAAAGGCAAGATCCACACACATGCTCATACCTATTAGTTATCAGACCTAACACCTTGGAGAGCACTGCCAAGGTGACAGCTGGTGCCAGGTTAATCTATTTTACATAGACTTCAGCACAAAGCTCTTCCTGCTACTTCGCATTAACTGATGAGCATCCTGAGAGTGGAAAGCAAGCTGATGAGGCACTATCTATTATCTGTCTATGTTTTTTATTTTTTTTGAGTTGGAGTCTCACTATTGCCCAGGCTGGAGTGCAGTGGCGTGATCTCGGCTCACTGCAACCTCTGCCTCTGGGGTTCAAGTGATTCTCCTGGCTCAGCCTCCTGAATAGCTGGGATTACAGGTGTGTACCACCATGCCTGGCTAATTTTTGTATTTTTAGTAGAGATGGGGTTTTGCCATGTTGCCCAGGCTGGTCTCGAACTCCTGAGCTCAAAGTGATCCACCTGCCTTGGCCTCCCAAAGTGCTGGGATTACAGGCGTGAGCCACTGTGCCCGGCTAGCTAGTTAGCTAGCTATCACCTACCTACCATTTGTAACTAACTACTAAACTGAATGCGCAAGAAAAACAAAAGACAGGAATAATTTGGATACGAGATTATCAGAAACCTGCAACTATCTCAGATAACCTCTGAGTTAAAGGTTTTGCACCAGCCAAAACATCTTTTTGTTCTCATTGAATGACTATAATAAGGATATGATGCAATTGTAAGCCCTTAAGTAAAATATATACCGCCTTAACCTGTTGAGTATTTTGTGGTATCATTTGAACAAGATGTTTCTGTTGCTGAAACCAATAGATGCTACTTAAAGTGGGGTCAGCATCTGGGAGCTTGTTAGAAGTGCAGATTCTTGGGTCTTACCCTAAACATACTGAAGCACACTCTCTGAAGGGTGGGGCCCAGAAATCCATGATGCAATAAGCCCCCCAGGGGATTCTGATGCTCTCTGCACATGTAGAGCATGTCTCCATGGTCACCCCTTCCAGCTCTGACTGGCCATGATTCTATCTGAGAATGGTTAAAGGATCTAAAACCACATTTTTCTCAACACCTATCTCAAGCTTCCTAGATGGATCCACCTGCCATTGGATACTCATTAATGCTTATGGTTCCCCGAATCTGTGTAAGGCAGGGGTTGCTTTCTGAATCAGCAAATACCTTAGCGTTTCCAAACCAGTTATTTCCATGTCTTGAGATGCTCAACATTGCCACGTCCACGCCCTAAGGGACTTCCCAATTAATTACGCTGCCGAGCTTGTCAATAGGCTGGTTCCTTCATTGTTTTAGAAGGAAGAATCAGAGAAGCTGTTCTCATGCCAAAGGAACCCTCATTTGCTGCCACTGACCCAGAGTTCTCAGCAGTTCTGGTCTGATAACTGAGGATCCACTCCATAGCCCTGGCAATGGGGAGCTCTGTGTCCCACTCTATCTGCCTCAGTGTGGCAAAGCCCTTCCATACCTTCTCTCTGCACCTAAATTGCATCCATCTCCTTAAATAAATCACTCTTGGTAAAACCCCTCTTCCATCCTCCGGGCCAGATATCCCTGGCTGTGAACGGTTTGGCCCTTTCACCTCGGTAGGGTTTATATTAGCTGGTGTTCAGTATTCTTGATGGGGAGGTTGCCTTTGCCGGGAGATTTGTCTGTTATCTGTGCCTTGTGCTTGAAAGAAATTGGATGAAATGCATGTTTTAGCCACACACCCTGCATACAGATTAAATGGAACTGCCTTGGTAGAGAATAATTAAGCCAAGGACCTTGTTTTTCACCTTCATGATGAAAGACAAATGACTTCCAAAGGCTTTAATAAGATGGAACTTGAAATGTTCTCCTACTTTGGCCAGCTTGGGACTTTCAGAACAGCCTTGTTCATAAATATTCTGTGCAACGACTGCATTTTCATTTAATTGTAGATAGAGTCATTTTGCAGGAGCTCTTGTCTCCATTTTTGACCCAGTGTAATCAAGGCATATTACACCATTTGTTGTTGTTAAAGAGTCAGTTTCAGCTGTATTATTAACTCTTTGAGAAGAAGACAGATTTTTCCCTGCCAGATGCATTCTGCTTCTCACCAGTCTTTTGGGGGTGATGAGGGTCTTGTGGGGGCCACCATTTCTCTCCTTTTCTCATCTTTTGAAGTGACTGTCAATTGGACAAGAAAACAGATTGATTGCCTAGTGGGAAACTAGACCCCACTAAGTCATAAATATGAAATGGGCCTGAAATAGACATATTTCAGCAAAAGACATCCTTCCCCAAATAGCTCTTCTCTAGCAAAAGGATTTCCTAGCAATCATCATCTCTTTTTCTCTTCAGTGTTAGGTTTTCTGTCTGTGCCAAGGTGATTTTTCCTGTGTCTCCTGGATTCTTTCTCACTTTTGTAATAACAGTGTTTGCTCTTTCCTTAGCAAAACCGGCTGTAAATGGGTGTCACCCTGCCTAGCTGGCTTTCTCAGGCTTTGTTCCAAACACAATGCTGTCTTTTCTTAGCCGTGGAAATGGGGCTGTTCTCCACTGGTTTTTGAGAGAATGGCCTTTTCCTATTCTGTTCATATAAACCAGCCTCACACCTCGGCGGCCTGTTGTTTTTGGGGTTCTCTTAATGCAAAAGAAGGTTTTTACTATGGACAAGGGGAGTTGGGAGGGCCCTGGTCAGAGACATGCTGCATCTGGCTGAGATACGAGGAGACTGAGGAGTCAGTTTGGAAGGATCCACCTGTGGGCTCTGATGCCCCACAAAGATTGTAGGGTGTCAGGCTTTCAGTTCATACAGAAGGTGTCCCCTGCCTCTTCCCAGAAAGCAGTAGCCTTCCAGTTGGTCCTGTCACTGTCCGACCCAGGACCGGGGCACACTCATTCCCCTTCTCTGACCTTGAGTTCCTGGCCTGAGGATGCAGCCAGGATCTAGGGTCTCTGGGTCTTCTCAGTTGCAGAATCTAAGGCTGGAGCTTAGTTTGCAGCCCTGCTTCCCACACTGTTTCCTGCAGATGCTGTGCACACAGGGCAATGGCTTATCCACCCGTGCCCCCAGCCATGGGAGCCGAGTGACTCATCTTGGCAGGTGGAGCCATTGCCTCTGCCAGCTCTTGTTCAGAGCCTTCACCTGGTGGTTGGCTGAGCTGATTTGAGTGAGCACAGCGTCCAGTGTGTGGGTTTGTTCACAGGTGAATGTGCTTGATTACATCCTGCTGTTGGGGGCAGCTGAAGTGAAGTGGAAAGAACCTTGGACTTGGAGTCAGGAGTGTCTGGGTTCTTGCCCAGGTCACCAGCTCTGTGGATCAGGCCTCCCTTCCTCCCTAACCACGCAAGGTGCTGAGCACACAAAAAGTCAACAAGATGCAGACTTTGCCCTCGTGGAACTCCCAGTTTAATGGAGGAGTCAGAAACTGTGAATAGAATATAATACAGTAGGGGCCAGGATACGCTCAGAGCAGAGGGACACCTCCTCAGCCTACAGGGTGTGAAAATCAGGGAGGGCTTCCAGTGGGAGGTGATGCTCCAGCTGCATGTACAGGAGACATGAGAAGTAAGCCAAGGGGACAGCAGGGCAAAGGCATGAAGGCCAGGGAAGTGTATGGTATATGGCACCTCAGTGTTTCAGGAGCATAGAGCGGAACCCTGGGATCAACAGGTGGTAAGACCACAGCAGGTGGGGCCAAGTCCCAGCAACCTCATTTGACATAGGAGCTTGGGCCTCATCCGGAGGGTAAGGTGCACAGTAACTGGGCCAGATTTGCATTTTAGAAAGATCCTTCCGATGGCTGGGATGGAGGATGGTTGTGCAGGATCTGGAGGCCTCCTGGGGGACTGGGGCAGTGGTCAAGGAGAGACAGTGGGCCTGGAAAGTGACAGTGGGGGTGGATGGGGGGAGCAAATCTGACGAAGATTTAAAATCTAGAATTGGATGGCTGGCGTGATCAAAATTGGAGATAACAAGAGGGACGGGGGTGTGGGGAGGCAGGTAGTGAGCCCTCAGGGACATCCACGTTGAGCGTCTGGCCCAGCTGGCACTTGGATATTTGGGTCTGCAAATCCAGATTTGGTTGGCATTAGTGTATGGGTGGTGGCTGAAACCACGTGAGTAGATGCAAACGGAGATCCACAGGCCGTGCGTATCGAGTGAGGAGAGTAGCAGGCCAAGGATGGGACCTGGAAAACAGCCCGGAAGGGATGGGAAATAGCAGGAGACTGGAAAGGCAAGGTCAGAGGATGGGCAGGTGCAGGGGAGTGGGTCCAGGGCATGGAAAATTCAGGAAAGAGGGATGATGCACAGTCAGGCAGAGCCTCCCAGGAGGATGGACCAAGCAGTGTCCTCTGGGCTGGTCTGTGAAGACCCAATCCCTGTCTTGAAGAGCAAGCCATTTCCTTCTCTGGGACTCAGTTTCCTCATCTAAAATCTAGGGATTAGCCTTGGTGCTTCCAAGAGCCCCTGGCACTAAGCGTCTGTAAAAGCAGAAACTTCTTTTTTCTTTTTTTCGAGACAGAGTCTTGCTCTGTTGCCCAGGCCGGAGTGCAGTGGCACAATCATGGCTTACTGCAGTCTCAACATCCTGGGCTCAAGCAATCCTCCAGCCTCAGCCTCCTGAGTGGCTGGGACTACTGGTGTACACCACTGTGCCCAGCTAAGAAACTTCTTATAAGAAATTAGGGGGCACCCTTCCTACATCCCTCAATCAGGCCCACGCTGCCCTTGAAGGCTGGATGAATGAAAACCCAGAGAAGTCAGAGCTGGAAAGGACTTTGCGGAGATTTTAGTCCAGCCCACCGTGTGGAAGGTAGCCTGATGGAATGGAGTCAATCCCTGTCTTTTCCCAGCTTGGCAGCCTCGGGCAGACACTCCACCTCGCTGAGCCTCAGTTTTCTCACTTGTAAAATAAGGCCCCTGAGACCCACCTTGCAGATGTGTTTGAAGGTCAGTGAGAAATGGGAGCTACTTGTGCTTATTAAAGATGAGCCCCAGGACCGGAGAGGTGACCTGATTGACTCGAGGTCACAGAGCAGGGCACTGTGGTGACCAGAGCCCAGGCTTCTGAGGACAAGCCCACTAGGGTCAGCTGACTGCCAGAGGTCATAAATCAGCAGCCGTGGGCCAGTGCAGCCCACAGATGTGTTTTGTTTGGCTCATGCGGTGTTCCTTTCAAAATGGAATTTGTTGCTGACATTCAAAAGTGGGAGATTTTACTTCAAAAATTTATATTTTCTTGAAAACTTGGAAGAATTAGCAGCACTGAGCCTGCATCCCACTGGGGCTAGTGTCCCCTCCCATGGCAGGAGGGGTGGCCACCGCCCCATCCAGCCCTCCCCCCTCACTAATGGTGAGTTACTTGCTTGACCCCTGAGGTGATGTGAGTCTGCAACCCCAGCCTTAGACTGACCATTTGTCTTGAATTTTCTCCTAAAGCCCTGCCCGCTGTTCACTGAAACAGCTCAATATTTCACAGCTGAGGCCCAGACCTTGGCCACTGAGTAAGAAGGCCTGGCAAGAGATGACGGGAGAGACAGGAGGGCAGAGAGTTTCCAACAGCTCAGCCCCATGGGGGATGCTGGGAGGGCCTGGCCCCTGCAGGCTGCCGGGGGTCAGCAAGGGAGTTGGCTGAGGGCCCCTGGGGTTTCCTCATTCCTCCCTCCTGGAGTGGGAGGAGGCTATGGGCCTAGCCGGCTGGGCAGGCTGAGATCTTGTCCCTGAATTGCCCTACTTTGTTGATGGGGGGTGGGGGAGTGGGGAGGGACTGCAGCCCCTGGCTTAGTGCAGCCCTGTTTATGTAGGGGAATGTCTGGTATGTTTGGTATTTGGGTGTTTACTTCCCAGGGTGCTCATGGGTCCCTGGTGTTGAAATGTGGCTCCTCCATGCAGGGGGGGCCCTGGTGGGCCTGGCTGGCTGTGTGAGGCCTGAGGCTAGATTTGGAGGCTGCGGGGCTGTTACTCCAGGCCTGCTCACTGACAACTCAGCACGCCCTGAACTCCCCAGCCTGCTCCTCCCTCTCCGCAGTACTCCTTTCTGTGCCGCATTCTGCCCGGAGGCAGGCCAGTGTGCCGCTGCTGCAATAGCACCACCTCCGCCTTGCCTGCGAAGGAAGGCAGGGAAGCTGGCATCACGGAACTCTTCCTGTGCTCCCGGCTCTGGGCTGGAACTCAGTCCTCATTACTACCATGTGCGGCAGGGCTCAGTACCTTCCTGTACAAGTGAGGAATGGAGGCTCAGAGAGGCCAAGTAACTTGCCCAGGAGCACACAGCTGGTCTACAGCAGAGCTTCTGGAGGAACTCAGGTCTTAAAGACCACCCCCCAACCCCACCAACCAAAGCTCACACTGTCAACTCTGATGCCACAAGTCTCAGATTAGCCTGGTTCTGTCTGCCCAGGCAACAATTCTTAGTATGAGACAGAACCCTCAGACTTGGGCTACTCTGGTTAGTGCTGGGGGTTTTGGTTTTTCTTTTGTGTCCATTTTTGCTTATCACTTCCTTTATTTCTTTGTCCATGTGAGAGTTTCTGTATTTTCAGCGCCTTGGGTTGAGAATGTAATTTCTCTTTCTCATTCTGTCTCTCTGTGGGTCCTGCAAGCTATGTTTTTGAAAACGCTTATGAAAAGTCAGAATTCAAAATCACATCTGGGCTGCTGTTTGTCACAGTGGAAATGCCGCGCCACCTGCAGACGGGGCCTGAGAAACACGGAAATGGGTGAGGGTTAGGCCCGAGAGGAGCTGGTGACGTCCCCTCCTTTAAACCATGGAGCTTGAATGTTACACCTTCATGTAAATTGTGCAATAACGTTTTTTAAAACATGTTAAAAACTTCTAACTCTAAAGGCAGTGATCATGATCAGACCACCCACCCCTTGAAGAGCAGGACGTGCTCAGGCCCTGCGGCCCAAAGACCTGGATACGAGTCCTGCGCTGTCACTGAGCATCTACGCAGCCTTGATGTTCTTAGTTTCCTCATCTGCAAAAGTGGGGAAGCTGAATAGAGCTGTGCTGGGTGACTTACTGAGATGGCAAATTAAATGTAGTTAATTTAGTTAATAAACACCCATTCTGTGCCATGCTCAGCTCTGGTGGCTGAGTGACAGTGGTGAAGGTGATGATAGACTGAGATATTTATATAGATTAACTATGAATAGATTAAGGTTCTCATGGGAAACTGACAACGGGCAGGCAAACATGCATGTGAAAAAGATAAGTGCTGTTAGTGAATGCACCTTGAAGGAAATACACAGGGAGATAGTAACAGGACAGGGCTTTTAGTTTGGGGTGGTCAGTAAAGACGTCAAGAAGGAGCAGCAAGTACAAACCCGGGGGACAGGGAAGAACTTGTCGTTTTGAGGGAGAGGAAGAAGGCCCATTGTTGGAGTTGAGGGGTAGAGGAGGGCGATGTAGTGGAAGGTCAGAGAGGCAGGAGGAGCCAGGTTTTCTCGGTTCTGTGGGCCACATGTGTTGGAAGCTGTTGGAGGGTTGCAAGCAGAGGAGCTGACTTGTGTTTTAGCCAAGGGAGAGCCCTTTGGAGCCACTGCAGCCGTCCAGTGCAGAGGCGACGAGGGCTTGGACCAGGCTGGAGGCAGCAGGGATGGAGAATGTGGTGGACACCTTAGAGATGTATTTTGCAGGTGGAATCATGACAACCTGCTAAATGGACTGTGTGAGTCCTTAATCGGCTCCAGGGCAAACTTCTCTGGGCACACAAATCTGCGTGCGCATGTACTGCATACAGATCCTGATTCAGTAGGTCTGGGTGGCCTTCAAGACTGCATTTCTAACAAGAGCTTGGGTGAGGCTGATTGTGCTGTTGGCCAACCACACTCCACAGTGCCTGACTCCTGGCAAACGTCCAGGAAGTGCTCGCTGTGGGGATGACCACGAGCCCTGTAGGAATCTCTCAACTGTTGCTGTCATTGACTCCTGCCTGCAGGCCGTGACTGGGTCCAGGACTGGGGGTGGACTTATGTAAATCACAGAGATAGATTCATACACGAGATAGTCTTGTTTGCCTATCAGATCCATTCCCGTTTTACCCTGCTCTGTGCCCCAGGTGGCTCATCTCAATGGACCACATTACCCAGGAGTCCTTCCACTCTGGCTTCTGGTTGAACTTGGCCATTAGGAGGTACCAGCCTTAGAAAAGAATTTGGGATATTCATTCCCCTGATCCCTCCCTGCTGGGCACCCATTGGGCAGTGGTGTGTTCCTCTACCAAAGAGCACAGCTCCTGTCTGGTGACCCTCTGCCATGGCTAAGTGACAGCTCTCCCTGGGTTCCAATCATCACTCCTGACCCTAGCCTCAGGCCGGAGGTGTTCGTGACTCCACTGCTGCTGGTCCCGGGTTCCCTAAGCTCTGTCCACCCCCTGTAAGTAGTTCCCTCATTAATTTCCTTTAAATAAACCCCTGTTTCCTGCTGGGATCCCCTAGTCCAGGGGCTTTGGTACCGACCGAGGTGACCCACCTCTGCCTTTTATTGGCGGCTGCTTAAGGGCCCTTCCGCATCCAGGCTCTGCTGCTTTCTCAGCGGTTTTAGGAATGTTGCTGAGGGTGGGATTTCACCCCTGGTCACTGGGGACCATCTTCAGCTCCTCCATTAGCCCCTGGCATCACCTGACCTCCAAGGGTAGAAGCTTGGTGTCCCAGGCATCTTTCAGTGGCATGTGGCAGAAACCTTCTCAAACTCCCTTCAAGCCAAGGGAGGAATTTTGACAGATTCATAGTCCCAATGACAAGGAGCATAGTCAGTCCTCACCAGGGTGGCATCAAGAGGACCAAGACAGCGTCTTTCTCTGTGTGTCTTCTGTTGATTGTTCCTCTGTCTGTGCCGTTGGCTTCTGTCCACATCTCTGCATGTTTCTCTCCCTGTGGCACTGCCTCTGTGTCTCTCTCTCCCCTTCTTCATCTCCGTGTTCTGTGTGTTTCTCTGTCCCACTGTCTCTGTCTGTCTGCCTGTTTGTCGGGAGTGCTCTGTCTCAGGGCCTGGTGAGGTGAGCAAGCCTGGGTGAGGTGCCCGGGGGCGTGGCATGTAGGGAGGTGCTTCCTCTTTGGTGCTGACCCTGCACTTGCTTAAATGTGTGCCTTGGGCACCCCACCTGCTTTCCCCTGCTCCAGGCCCGGCTTTTCTCTCCATCCCCCTTTCCCTCTCTTTGCCTGTTTCTTTGTCTCCCTGACCCCGTCTTGGAGCTGAGTGGTTGTTTCTCTCTTGGTACGTGGTCTCTGGTCTCTGCTCACCCTAAACTTCACAGCCCGATCTTCCTGCCTCCCTGTGCCTGGGGGTGAAGTTGGTTGCCCGGCCCTGCATGACCCCTCAGTCCAGCACTCAGGATCTCCCTGTCCAATTTAAAATTCCAGGAGAGTGAGTACAGCTCGGCTCAGCCATTCATGCCTCGTCCAGTCAGCTGTGGCAGGGGCTTGAGAGCAGGCTGTCTGAGGAGGGGTCTGGGTGAGGCGGGGCTGCTCTGCACGAGGGCCCTCTTGGTCCTGAGTCCCCAGGTCTCTCCATCCAATGTGAAGTGTGGCACAGCAGTACCCCTCACTGCCAGGACCCGGATGGCCTTGCCCTTGGGCCTTCCTGGGAAACTGCAGGAAAACAGAGCCAACACTAAGTTTGAGAACAGGGAAAAGCATGCTCCCCTCCCACCCTCAGCCCGCATCTCATGGTTCTTTAAATGTATTGAGCGTCAAGCTGCCTCCTCTTCAAACATCCTGGTTCTTCCAGCTGTATCTGCGGAAACAAATCATTATCACCCAGTTTGGGGTTCTGGTTTCAGATGTCAGAGCCATGTGTGGTACAAATACTCTCTGCCGTCTTTCTCCCACACATGGGCAAATGCTTTAGAGAATTCAAGAAGCACCAGGAAGGAGGAGGCAGCAGCCCTGACTCTGGGGACGAAGGAGCCCCAAGAAGGGCTGGGGAGAGTCTCCAAGTGGTCCCTGTCTAGGGGTACAGATGGCACAGGCCATGTTAGCTGTGGGGCATGAAGGCAGAGGGGATCTGCCAAATGCCTGTCTTGTTTCTGGTAGGGCCTTAACAGCTGTTTTCTACACCTCTGGGCAGCTCTTAAATAGCAGTGCGAGGATTTAGGGGTGATGCAGCACAGTTTCAATGGGGAAGGTATGAGGATGGGGCTTTGGGATCACATCTTGCCTCATTGGGAGATACCAGCCAAGGTTGGGGGCATGGGTGCAGGAAAGGCCTGGGGCTGGGCTTGGAAGCTGGTGGTGGCTGTGGAACTGGGGGCTCTAGGCCTCAGCACACACCCTAAGTTTTTTCCTGGCCTGCTTAGGGCTCATGCAGACTTGCCATAGCTGTCAGGGGCCTGTGCCCCCAAATCTAAACTCTGCCTTCAGCCAGTGTGCTTCTAGGGAAGGCAGGCTCCCAGCTTTGCTGGCCTACTACAAACAGAGAGAAGAGGCCACCCCGGCAGAGAAAGCTCCCGTGAGCGCTGGGGAAAAGGCCATGCAGATGCAAACGGGTGATAAGTCACTTTGTAATGAAAGAATCTAAGCCTGTAGCATCTCTCTCTGGAATCCTGAATTCCATTCATTCATCTGAGTGACATTTGTTGAGCCCCTCCTGAGTGCCACACTCTGTACCAGGTGCCGGGAATGCTCAGGTCCGGTTCTTCAGGCTAGCAGGGAAAACAGGCACCCACACAAACCGACGCTTGTGGTAGGATGCGATGGAGACTCCTACAGTGCTGTAGCAGCACCAAAAAAGCAGCGGATTCTTTTTCTTTTTTAACTTTTAAGTTCAGGGGTATGTGTGCAGATTTGTTATATAGGTAAATTCATGTCACGAGGGTTTGTTGTACAGATTATTTCATCACCCAGGTTCTAAGCCTAGTAGCCAATAATTATTTTTTCTGATCCTCTCCCTCCTCCTACCCTCCACCCTCAAGTAGGCCCCAGTGTGTGTTGTTCCTCTCTGTGTGTCCGTGTGTTCTCATCATTTAGCTCCCACTTATTAGTGAGAACATGCCGTATTTGGTTTTCTGTTGCTGTGGTAGTTTGCTAAGGATAATAACCTGAGCTCCATCTATGTTCCCGCAAAGGACATGATCCTGTTCCTTTTTATGGCTGCATAATATTCTATTGTGTAATATGTACCACATTTTCTTTATCCAGTCTATCATTGAGCATTCAGGTTGATTCTGTGTCTTTGCTATTGTGAACAGTGCTGCAATGAAAATACACATGCCTGTGTCTTTATGGTAGAATGATTTATATTCCTTGGGGTATATACTCAGGAATGAGATTGCTGGATTGAATAGTATTTCTGTTTTTAGCTAAAAGCAGCTGATTCTATCTGGGGAGTCAAAGGACCCTTCCTGGAGGAGGTGATGTTTACTCTCGAGGTTCAGTTAAGAGTTTACCAAGTGGGAAAGGAAGGATATCTCACTCAAGGCTGAGAGGGCCTGGCTGGCTTGGAGAAGGGTGAGACATTTGGACTAGAGGGTGATGCAGGAGGGGATGAACGTGGCTGGAGAGGGGAGGAGGAGCGGCCCCTGACCTGGGCCTCAGCCTGGCCCAGTTGATCTCTTAAACTTTCTTCCAGCTCTGAATCTTTTTGCATTGCTGCTAAAGCAGCTTCTGTCTGCTTCTGACTTTCTGTGGAATAAGGCCCTGTGCAGGATGGGGGTAGGGATTGAAGCCTTGGAGGGCAGAGGTTGGTTGCTCAGGGGAGGACACAAGGCCTTGCAGTACCCAGGCTGCACACATCACCTTGGCAGTTTGTGGGCAAACCCTCCTGGCCGAAGGGAGATTGCACCGCCAGCCACTTCCTCCAGTTCCTTCCCTCTGCCTGTCGTCACGGTTACCTTGGCCTTGTTGGGGGTGAGGTTAAGGTTGGGCGGAATCAATTTCAGCCAGGTTTCTATTTTCCCAGATGCAGGTCAGCCAGAGGAGCTGTCACTTCTGGTTCAGTTTCAAAGAAGGCCAAGGGACTGGGAGGTGCTTGGGTGTGGCGGTGTTGACGAGGCGCCTCTGCAGCTGACTCCCAGGTGGGGTGGGAGTGGGGCAGGGAGAAGCTCAGAGGTGGTGAGGAGGCAGAAAGGGGGCTGCCCTGCCAAGGCCTGTGCCGATGGCCATGGTGCTGGTCTCGGGCCCAGGCGCTCTGTCCTGAGCCCCCAGAGCATGCTGGGAGTGTGCAGAGAGAGGCTGTTTATTTTCCTGGCCTATAGCCCTTTGGGCTGAGACCTTGTTCCAGGCCTTGGGCTGCCAGAGTCACCCCCCACACCCTCCTCCCTGGCTGGAGAAGTGAGAGAGTTGGCAAGCCCAGGACAATCCAACGGCTTCTCTAATGGCCTATGACTCTGGTCTGTCCCCAGCCCAGCTGGTCCTGGGTGTCCTTCAGATTTTCCTGGTAGATCACCTACCAGGTAGGTAGGCAAGAGGCAGCAAGAGGTGCCACATCAAAGTGCTCCTGATGGACTGGGGCTGTAAGGGCTGGTGGTCAGGAGCAGGGTGCTTGAAACCAGAGAAATCTGAGTTTGAATCCTAATCTGCTATTTTGTAGTTGTATGGCCTTGGGCAAATTGAACTATTGAGCCTCAGTCTCACCATCTGTAAAATGGTACAGTAATAGTAACTTCCTCATAAGACTTTGATGGTGAGGATTAAATGACATGTGTTTAAAGCATTTATCAAAGTAGGCAACAAATGGCACCTCTTGTTATTATTACTAATGGAGCAATAACAACAGCAACTTTGATTCGAAGTCTGTGCTAGTGGGCAGTGAGTCTCCTTCTCCCCCATTCCAGGGGTCGTATTTCACGCATGGTGAGTTTATTAACATGTCCTGAGGGAGAAGCAAGCCCGGAGGCTCAGGAGGCCCCTTGCTTGTTCCCCAGGGTCCTTCAGCTCTCCCACAGGTGGGCATCCTGGGGGAAAGGATTAAAGCCAGATGAGGAGGCTGGGGAGACTGTTAGTGACAAGAGGAAATGGATCCCAGCATTTGGAAAGGGCCAAGAAAGGAACATTGGGTATGGAGGAGCGGGGAAGATCTTAAATCCCAACAGAAGGTAAGAGGAGAGGACAAAGATAGTCAAGGAGGTGGGAAGGTGGCAGTGGAATGTGGAACCTGTGTCCATGCCCAAGACGTTTTTAAAGGAAGTGCCTGGGAACCACTGGCCTGGAAAATTGTACCCAGAGGGCTTGGGCTGGGCAAAAGAAAAGGTCGTCACCGCCCGTTGGGTGCCACCTCTGTGTGAGTAGATTTGCCAGGCTCCTGGCCTCCTGAACTCCTCATCTGGCTTTAATCCTTTTCTCTGCTTTTGCATATTCTTCCCCCAGAATGTCCACCTGTGGGAGAGCTGAGGGACCCTGGGGGCAGAAGCGAGGGGCTTCCTGAGTCTCTGGGCTTGCTTCTCCCTCAGGACATCTGAACCTGGATATCTGTCTTAGTCCATTTTGTGTTACTATCACAGAATACCACCAACTGAGTAATTTATAAAGAAAAGAAATTTATTTCTCACAGTTCTGGAGGTTGTGAAGTCCAATATCAAGGTACTGGTGTCTTGTGAGGGCCTTCTTGCTGCATCATCCTAGGGCAGAAGGTGGGAAAGCAAGAGAGTACAAGACAGCAAGAAAGGGCCAAATTTCCTTTTATAACAAATCCCCTTTTCTAATAACAACATTAATCCATTCATTAATATTGTTACTAACCACCTCTTAAAGGTGTCACCTCTCAACACTGTTGCATTGGGGATTAAGTTTCTAACACTTGAAGTTTGGGAGACACATTCAAACCAGAGCAGAATCCCTGCCCGTTTGGGCTACTGACTCCTCCCTGGGATGCTCTGAGAGGATCCTTGGACTGGCTGGGAGGTATTTCCAACTCTCCAGGCAGTGGGCTGGCAGAAGTGATCACTTGTTCACTGCCGAGATGTGGGTTAGAAAGGCGAAGTTGTCCCTCTGTCTATGTGTCAGGACAGAAACTGTACTCCAAGCCTGCCTCAGTGTCTAATCAGTGGCTCTGTGCCCTCACAGCTAGATGAGGAAGAGGAGCGAAGGAAAAGGCGCCGGGAGAAGAACAAAGTCGCAGCAGCCCGATGCCGGAACAAGAAGAAGGAGCGCACGGAGTTTCTGCAGCGGGTGAGCTGACCGGGTGGGTGGGGAGGCCTGCCATTCCTTGGAGTGAGCTTGTGTACTCTGGACCAGGAGAGGCCATCAGATGTCTCTGTAGTCAATGAGCATCTGCTGGCAGCTGCCAAAGCAGCCTTGGCCCCTCTGCTCTTTCCTACCTCCTGTTTCCTCCCCAATCTCTGAACCAAGACAACCAAGGGCAGCCTTCAGCAGTTCCTGCCCACACAACCCCTGGAAGCCCAAGAAGGAAGGAGGAGCCAAATTCCCCTCCACTGAGGTTAGACCCTTGGTGCTGATTGACCCAGATGGCCCAGGACTGCCACTATCTATTTTGGTTCCCTGGTGGCTACCAAAGTCGTCTAGGGTGGGTGCCAATGAAGCTAGGTAGTAACATCCTGCATGTGGGCACTGGACACAGCCTCTGGCCTGGCTAACTTTGCACAGAGAAAAGCTCCTTCCCTTAGCTGCAGGTGTCTTATCCAGCCCTGCATGCCATCTGGCCAGCCCCTCAGCTCCACTGAAGGTGACCTCCAAGCTCTTTGCTGCTACCTCTGGGAATAAGAGGTCAGCTCTGCATGTAGAGGTCAGCCAGGGGTTGCTTTTCCTCCTGGCCCTACCTGCCCTTTCATTTGGAATGTGCCAAGCAGGATGTTTGTTCTTTTTCTCCCAAGTCCTGCCTCTCAGAGCTTCCCTGCATCTCAGAAATGGTGGCTGGCAGTGAGGGAACATGACCAGAAAGCTAATCAGTGCAGGCCAGGAGTCTCTGGTCTTTCCACCCCTAATCATTGGTTCTTTGCTGAATAATAATAACGATAATGTATAATAATAACATAGGGGCGGGTCCTATTCTGTAAGTACACAGTAACTAACAATAGTTGCCACTATTTGTAAAGTTGGGTGCTGTGCTGAATGCTGTATGTACATTATCTCATTTTATTGGGATAATAACCATATGAAGTGGGTACCTTCATTAGTCTCTTTCTACAGATAAGGAAACTAAGGAAGTGTGGGGCTGAGTAATTTGCCCACATCTCTGCTATATTGGCATTCATTCATTTGTTTGCTCTTTTGTTCATTAATTGATTCAACGGGTATTTTTAAGCATGTACTAAATGTGCATCCGTGTGTTGGGTACACTGGGGGCACACAGGAAGCAGCAGACACGGTCCTCCTGTGGGAGCTGGAGAGACAAGGCTAGATTGGCCTGGTGTTTTTGGACTCTGGAGGGTCTATGGGCATCTTCTCACACTTGCAACAAGCAGAGAGCTATTCTGTGGTCATGGGTGTAGACAGCATGGGGCCGTGTATCTACCTCCAGGCTGTGAGTGTCCAGTGCAGGGAATGGTTATTGTAGATTAGAGTTAGATTCCTGGATCTGGGAGCCCGTTGGAAGAGATGGTGCTACAACATTGGGCTGGGAATCTTCAGGAAGTTTCTAAGACACGAGCCTTCAAGATGGATGAAGTGCCACATACCTCATTTCCAGCACCAAGTGCCTGCCATGAGCAGAGCTGGATGAGAAAGCAGGGACTAGAGAAGCTTCACGTGAGATCCCTGCCTTCAAGAGCTTGTCAGCCAGTTACCAGGCAAGATACGCCCTAGCGGACAGCATGTTAGTGACACACCAGTGCAATAAAGAGTTGGTGCCCAATGAATGGCACTCACTGCCCATCACATTCCAGGAACACTAGCTGAGCACCTACTGTGTGCCAGGCATTTCCCATGTTTTATTTAATCCTTATAATATTCCAGTGAGATAATATTATTTATCCCCATTTTAGAGACTGACCTGTAGCTCAGAGAGGTCAAGTTACTTGGCCAAGGTCACACTGCTAGCGAGTGGTGGGCTTGGATGTATTCATCCTTTGCTGATCCACCCGTCCATTTAGTAGGTGTTTAGTGAGTGCCTAGGGCACAGAGGGCAGGCAGGCGGTGTCGGCAGTGGGATGGGAGGCAGGAAACAAGGAAAGTGACGTGTGCCGAGCGTTATGTTGGGCAAGCCTAGCCAGCTGTGAGAACACACAGCAGGGGCCCTGTCCTGGTCTAGGCTAAGGAAAGGCTGCTTCAATTCAGACATAAAAGAGGAGTAGGAGCAGTGAGATGGAGGCCCTAGGGGGTTATGAGGAATGGAAGGGTTCAAGCAAAGGCAAAAGGTGCTGTTTAAGGATGTGTTTAAGGCATTGAAAAGGATACCAGCTGGAGTTTAGAGTACCAAGTAGTGGGGTGGAGAGGCAGGCAGGGCCCAGATCCCTCATAATAGGGTGATGCTAGATGCTGGGTTGCCTGAGGCATGCCCATTCTGTGCCTGTTGTCCTGGCCTAATGATTAGTAGCCCCTTCCTTCACTCTCACAAGTGCTGCTCTAGGATGATGAATTATATGGTCATGGAGAGTCACTGAAGGGCTGCAGGAGGGGAGACGCACACCTTCAAAAGATCCCTCTGGCGGCAATGTGGGGCACAGATTGAGGTAGAAGGATCAGTTTTGGAAGTGTCATGTTGTTCCAGTGAGACAGAAGTGCGCGGCCTTGGGGTCTGGGAGGAGATTTGGGCAGCATTGTCTGGGCCCAAGCCCAGTCCTCCCCTCACCCCTGTGTTCTCCTCCTCCTCCCCAGCCTTGGAAGCAGAGGTTTGGTGTGAAGTTTAGGGCATGAATGCAGGCGGCTGTGTTGACAGTCAGTGCCTGCAGACCTGGGGGATTCTCTTGTAGTTTATTTTTAATAGGTAAAATACAAGGCTCAGAGATACATATGTTAATTGTTAATAAATAGTAATTATTTAAGTAAGGGGATATATACAGTTGGGACAAATATCTACAGGCGGCCTTTCATAGCCAAGGGTTCTGCAGCTGTGATTTGACCAACAGTAGATCAAAAGTATTCAGAAAAAAAAGCATCTGTACTGTTTATTCCCTAAACAATGCAGCATAGCAGCTATTTACATAGCATTTACATCGTATTAGTCATTATAAGTAACCTAGAGATGATTTAAAGTATACGGGAGATGTGTATAGGTGATATCCAAATAACACGCCATTTTATGTAAGAAACTTGAGCATCCTCGGATTTTGGTATCCTCGGGGAGTCCTGGGACCAGTCGCCCATGGCTACTGAGAGACAACTGTATATATGTCATAGGTAAAAAGCCACCGTCCCACCCTTGACCCCTGGACAACCAGATCCACACCTGGAAGATTCTTAACTGCATCTCAGAGTTCGCCTGCCTAGACTAGCCGAGGCCCTGAACCCCGGGGAAGGGGCAGGCCTTGGGAGGGGTCAGGTCCACACCCCACAGGCCCTGGGGCTGCCTCAGTACATCCTCCATCTGCGGTCAGGAGCAGTGGCCCTGAGGCTTCTGCCTTGTATAATGCTGGCAGCTTCTGTCTCTCTGCTGTCCTAACCCAGGTTCTCTAGATGTTAGTAGCAATAATGCTATCTCACACTCCCGTGGTGCCCTCTGGTCTTCATAGCCACTCTCTCCTGATGGTCACAGTGGCCCTGGGAAGAGGAAAGGCAGTCCTATCCATTGATGAAGTTCAAGGTCACCCAGTGGCCGAGTCAGGACGAGAACCTGGGGCTTCCTCTGTGCCCCACACAATATTCAGGTTGCCCAGACTCAAAAGAAATTAGGAAACTCGTTTGTGGAAGCATAGCTAGCAAGTAGCAGAGTCAGGATTTTAATCCAGACAGGTCTTTCAGGCTCAAAGGGGCATATCAGGCTGCTTCTCAGCTCTTACAAAAACTTAGTGGAAATCTATTTTATATGCCTTAGAATAGCTTTTTAAAAAATATAGATTCAGATGGTCTTTTGTTGTTGCTGTTGCTGTTTTTGAGACAGAGTCTCACTTTGTCACCCAGGCTGGAGTGCAGTAGCATAGTCATAGCTCACTGCAGCCTTGTACTCCCAGGCTCAAGTGATCCTCCCACCTCAGCCTCCTGAGTAGCTGGGACTACAAGCACACGACCATGCCTGGCTAATTTTCTGTTTTTTTGTAGAGACCGGGGCTCCCTGTGTTGCCTAGGCTGGTCTTGAACTCCTGGACACAAGTGATCCTCCTACCTCGGCCTCCCAAAGTTCTGGGATTACAGGTGTGAGCCACCATGCCCAGCCAATTCAAACAATCTTAATGCTTAAAGTCCCCTGGGCCAATCATCATATTTTCTGGGAGGAAACTGAGGCCCAGAGAGAGGAAGTGACGTGGCCAAGTTCACACAGCCAGGATTAAAAGCCAGGACACCCAGCCCTTCACCTTGTATTCTTTCTACTGCCTTTGCCGACCACAGTGTAGGAGGCAGAACCTTAATATGCACTAATTCTATTCTAAAACAACAAATGGTTTCATTTTCTCTGGGGCAATAAATATCTAACAGAAGTCAAAACAATAAACAAAAATGCAGCCGGAGGTATATGCTTCATAATTAATGTGAGAAAGATCTTCGCTCAGTTCCTTCATTAATTAGGAAAACAAATTAGATAATTGTTGTTATAAAGTCACAAACCACTTCTACAATCATGGTTTAAAAAAAAAAGATTCTTCTGAACTCAACTTATATTTACACAATAAATAAATATGTAGAGCCAACTAATAACTCTTTGAGTGTGGAAGGCAGTAAAACTAAAAGGCAGTTAGTTACATTCTGGCTGGGCGCGGTGGCTCATGCCTGTAATCCCAGCACTTTGGGAGGCCGAGGCAGGCAGATCACTTGAGGCCAAGAGTTTGAGACCAGCCTGGCTAACATAGTGAAACCCTGTCTCTACTAAATATACAAAAATTAGCCAGGCGTGGTGGCACATGCCTGTAATCCTAGCTACTTGGGTGGCTGAGGCACGAGAATTGCTTGAACCTTGGAGGCAGAGGTTGCAGTGAGCCAAGATCATGCCACTGCACTCCAGCCTGGGTGACAGAGTGAGACTCTGTTTCAAAAGAAAAAAAGCAGTTAGTTACATTCTGACAGCCAGACAGTCAGAATTCAGGATATTCAATGATGTACCCTAACATTTAAAACCCACAGAATATAATGTTCTTTGTATGATAGCTGCATGAGTAAAGCAAGTTACCCTACACTGCACTGATCTTTGTGTGTGATACAGACGCTCCCACATAGAGTTGGTTTGACACGTGGTAATTTCTAGGAGGCAGATCTATGTGTGCAGTGCTGTTGAATTCTGCCTGTCAGAGGCTTCCCCTTGCATGTCCAGTTTTAACTTCAAACTCACTGTACCCAAAACAAACTCCTCCTTTTCCTTCCCACCGCTTTCCAGAACAGCTGCCCTCCCAGGCTTCATTCCTCAGACCCTCCATTGGGTTCATAGTCAGCTCTCTGCCCTATCTCCTTCCTTCTCCAAATCCAGCTAGTCACCAAGATCAGCTGATTTTTCTTTGAGACGTCTTCCTTCTCTTCCTCTCTTTCTTCTTTATGCTATTCTCTTGCTTATAAGTTACAGTAAGCCTCTCTGGTTTACAGAGTGCTTTTTCCCTGTGAGTTCATCTAATCCCCAAGAGCCTCACCTGTCTACAGAGGAGATAACTGAGGCTCAGAGAAGTTAAGAAACTTGCTTCTAGACTCAGATTCTGAACCCACAAGCTTTCCAGAGCTACAGGCTGGCTCTCAACCCACCTTCTCACTTTCTACCCTACTAAGTCCTAAAGCGAGCTATGATCACAGTGGAGTAGTTTTCCCTTCTAAACCCATCCTAAGCTTTCCCATGCCTGGGTCTTTGTTCACTCAGGGTTCTCCACCCGCAAGTCCCTCCTTCCCCTTCTCAACCCAGCCTGAGTCAACCCATCTTTCATGCCCAAGGTCAGACCCGCTCTTTAGCCCTCTCTAAGGTCTTCTGAACCCTGGGTGGCTGTTGGTCACACAGTAGTAAGCTCTGCCTTGTTGCACAGATTGCTTCTTCCCCTTACAGTGGAAAGGCCACAAGAGCCAGTTGGGGGCTCATGGCTCTTGGATTCCCCAGGGCATTCACTGTACATAGCAGGGCCTCAGCAAACACTCACAGATGGGTGGGTTACCCTGACACCCCTTGAGGCAGGGGCTCAGGAGAGTTTGAAGATGGAACTAAGCCCTTGGGCTGGGGAGACCGTGATGGTCAGAGGGTTTGTGAGAAGTTCCCAAGGTCACCAGAGAGTCACCAGTGAGCAGGGGGCTGACATTGGCACCTAACTGCCCCAGCCCGAGGGCTCACAGGCTTCCATGGATTCACGAGGGGTCTCTCCTGGCCCTCCGAGATGCGCCTCTCTTGGAATTCTCAGAACAGAGGACCAGGCCAGCTTCCCAGTCACGTCCCAGCCTGTGGAACCAAAAACCACCAGAGCTGGTTTTTAATATTTTCCCCGAGCATTTTTTTTTCCTTTAGTGAGGCTGTTTTCTCTCAGCGTCTGGTCACGAGGCCTGCCCGTCTCAGAGTTCCCGGGCACTCATGCTGCCACCTCAGAGATGAGCCAAGGAACAGTTCGGTCAGACCAGCTGTGGGAGGAAGACGGGACCCCTGGAGGGAGAGGGTTGGGCCCACTGAGGGTTCTGGGGACCCCCTGGGGAGGCCGCTCCACCTGTACCCTGCCAGGAGGACTGGCAGGCTTATGGGCTTACGGGCCCTCTGGTTGTCACATACGCAGTTGCAACTACTGCTTGCTCTTTGACTGATACAAGTTGCTCAATCTCTTACGCTATCGCCATTTTGGACTAAATACTTGTGGGGCTGGCCTGTGCATTGAAGGGTGTTTAGAGCATCTCTGGCATCTACCTGCTAGATGCTGGTAGCACAGCTCCCTCTGAGTTGTGACAATCAAAAATGTCTGCAGACATTGCCAAATGTCTCCTGGGAGGCAAAAATCAGTCCTAGTTGAGAACCACTGGTCTGAAACTTTGCTGGCCCTCGAATAAATGCCAAGTCTCAAAGTTTTCAGACATAATCCAAGAAAAATCATTCAGATGCTGTTTTACTGTTCAATCCCCCAAGCCTTGAATCGATATGCCCATCTCCCATCTACACGATGGACATGTAACCCTCGCCACCTCCCGAATCAAATCGTCAACATTCCTTCCTTCCCCTGGAACCTCTCCAGCTGAGCCGGAAGTTCCCTGGAAATCTCACTCAAGGTCTATTGGAAACCTCATTTGGGATCCAGCAGGATGACTGCTGATTCCCTGTCTGTGGGCAAAGCTTCCAGATTATAGGGATAAGGAAGAGGCTATTGAAATAATTATAGACTAATAGCTAGGAAGCACATGTTTTAGGAGGAATGACATGACTACACTACACTCACTGATCCCACCGGCCAAGATATCTCCCACATGTGTCTGTCACACATCAAAGCACGTTGCCGTTACACTGCCATCTGGGTCCCCTCTTGGGCCCCCCCATGCTTGCTCCGTAGACCTGCTCTAGGTCCACCTGGCCTCCTTTCTTTGCCCACCCTTTCTTTCTTGTGCAAAGGCCCTGAGGCGGCAGAGTATTTGGCATATTTGAGCAACAGCAAGGTGGTCACTGAAGCTGGGGTGGATTGAGGGAGGGGAGAGAGGTGGGACGTGAGTCTGGCTGGCCCTAGAATATAACCTGGACATGACACAGGCCAGTGTCACCGCTGTGGCAGGCACTGCCTGCAGAAAGTCAGTTAGCCAGGGGCTCAGTAGCAGGGTCTGTGCTTCTTCCTGCAGAAAACAGGCCAGTGCCAGCCCAGCGTGCCCTGTGCCTAACCACAGGCAGAGCCTCTCCCCAGAGCCAGTCCCCGTGAAACTCACAGCGTGCTTCTGTGTTGGTATACAGGAATCCGAGCGGCTGGAACTCATGAACGCAGAGCTGAAGACCCAGATTGAGGAGCTGAAGCAGGAGCGGCAGCAGCTCATCCTGATGCTGAACCGACACCGCCCCACCTGCATCGTCCGGACCGACAGTGTCAAGACCCCCGAGTCAGAAGGCAACCCACTGCTCGAGCAGCTCGAGAAGAAGTGACCATGGGCTGGGAGGAGGTGGAGGAGGAGGAAGAGGAGAAGGAAAAGTGACGAAGAGAGAGGAGGAGGGGGGCCCCAGATGGCCCTTCCTTTGGTGCATGAAAAACTGTACAATGAGGTTCAGCACAGCCAGCATCAGCCGAGCTTTTTTGTGAAACTCAGATCAGCCACCCAGGAGGAAGAGCGGGCTGAGGAAACCCAGAGGGACCAAGCGCTGAGACCAAAGTTGACCCTCGGGTAGGGTTGTCCTGCCTGGGGCCCCACTTGAAGGAGGCAGGACAGAGGCACCGAGGCCAGGGAGACGCCCAACGAGGCAGCCCTGGGCTCTTCTCTGGCCTCTTCACCAGGGCACCCATCCAAGGAACCTCCGAACAGCCAGGAAAAGCCATGAGTTGCAACCAAAACGCGGCTGAGGATGGAACTCAGAATGAAACTGCAACCCACCTGCCCCCAGCCCTGCCCCTCGCCCTGATGCGAAGCTGGAGAGGGGCGTGCTGCGGGGCCCTGATGCCCCCACCCACCTCGGTCCAGCGCGGCCCTGCCCAGGAGGCGGCAGCCGGGCGCACCCTCGCCAGCCCTGCTGGAGTTTGCTGTGGGCACTGAGGCGCGGGCGCCCTTCCAAAGCACATACTCACCGAATGTTTACAGACTGGCTGTCCTGGCAGGGCTTTCAACTGCACATGTTTTTTATACTTTCCTTTTTTTTTTTTTTTTTAATATTTTTTACAAAAAAAAAGATTTTATACAAGCAATATATATATGGATTTCTATAATCACTCGATGTGATACAGTATAAATATGCTATGGTTTGTTTGTTATGAACAGATAGCCACCAGTTACGGCCGTTGTGTGTAACTCCTAAGTACTGTAGTCTCTGGGTGTCGGGGGTGGCCAGGGCGGGGGCGGGGTGCATTTCCATCCTTGTAAACCCTTCATAGTACTCAGTCCTGTATCGCTCAGTAAACATTGCTCTTACTTACATAGCCGCCTTGCGTGGTGTCTGCCTGGGGAATGGGTGCAAGGCCCTCTCAGGGTCGGAGACTGTTTGGAGCCTCTGCTATAGGCCTGTTCATTTTCACAACAGCTCTCCTATTTCACAGATGAGGAAGCTAAGGCTCAGAGACATTAAGCCACCTGCAGTTACTATTTTGAGAGCAGTCAGAGTGTTCGCTCACTCTGCAGATGTTTTCTGAGGGCCTGTTGTGTGTGCCAGGCCCTGAGAATTCACTGGAGGATGAAACAGACCTAAGTCTTGCCCTTGTGGGGCCTCCAGTAAGGAGTGAATCCTGTGCTTGCTCCATAAGTTGTCTCATTTCGTCTTCATGGCAGCCTTGCCAGGGAACAGCACTTGTCCCCAATTCACAGATGGCGAATTAGAGGTCCAGGGAATTAAACTCGCAGACACCATTTGTTGAAGACTTATTTTGTGACAAGCAGACATAGTCTCTTCCCTTCTCACAAGAGCACAAACTAGGCACGATTCTTCTCATTTTACAGATGGTTTAACTGAGGCTCAGAGAAGGTAAGCGACTTATCCAAGGTAACCCAGCTAGCAAGGGATAGAGCTGGTGTTTGAACTCTCCCTCCAGAGGCCTGTGACTCTCCTCCTGTCACCAACCCACTATGATTGTCCTCATGGTTGAATAGGAAGCTTATGAGGCCACAGTTATAGATTTAGTTTCTGGGAAGGCTGGATAGAGTTCCAGGTTGTCCCATGATCACAGAGTGAACCAACTACCCTGGTCAATGTGTGTCTGACCCAGGGAAGGGTGTGGATGGCTTCTCTGCCCCCTCACCTCGACAGCTGAATCCCTGCCACCCAGGGCCGGAGCAGCTCAGTGGCATTCACTCAGTGCCTGCTGTGTACCTGGCACTCGGCAGTTCTCAAGGCATGTCACGCATGAGGAAGGCGGGAGAGGTGTTTTTAGCTTCCTTGTATACTGAAGCTTGCAAAGGCTACAGTTTACCCAACTAAACTTGACTCCTGCATTCTAATCATGTGTTCTTTCTCCTCCATCCCTGGACTTAGGATAACTAGTTGCTGGTGATGACTTCGTGTCAAGAACAGCAGTGAACCTGGGTTGCTTCCCAAATTGTGGACGAGGCCTTCTGGGATGGGCAGAAGTGGAGAATGGTGATTAACACACCTGTGATCCCTCCCTCGCTCACTCCTCTCAGTTTCCCTCCACCCAACACACTTGGTGTGGACTCCCCTGCACCCCGCCCTAGAAACAGGACCTGGTCCTCTCACTGTCAGCTGTGGCAGAAGGTTGTGGCAGCGGGTTGCCTTCTGTCTCGGGGGTCTTGAGGCTGTCGGTCCGGACGATGCAGGTGAGGCAGTGTCAGTTCTGCATCAGGAACCCCTCGCGCTGTAATCCTTTGATATTTTTCAAGCCATGAGAAAAATGAAGTGGACTTACCAGGGTCCCTCCAGTGACCTAGTGGATGTTCTTACAGGACTGCCGTGTGCCACTGGCTGTGGCTTCCCTGGTCCTGTGCTTGGCCACCGGGAGCTGGCATCTCCAAAATAGAGCCTCCTTAGCCTGTGCAGGTGGGCTGTCTTCCAAAGTCACCACACCAGTGACTTGTGCTGTGCGGAGCCTTCCTCACCAGGACCACTGGCTGCTCCTGTGGCTAGAAGTCACAATTATAGGCTTCATTGCAAGAGCCAGCATTTGAGTTTCTTCTGGGCACCTGCCACTGTGCATGTGTGACCTCAACTGCTTTGTGCACCCTGACTGGGGGGTAGGTGCTAGCGTTCCAACATTACAGATGAGAAAACCGAGGCACACAGAAGAGGTAACCTGCCCAAGGTCACAGGTGTTAGGTGGCAGAGCCAAGATGTTATTGTCAGTCTGACTTCAGGTGCATAAAACCTGAGGCTGAGCCTCCCCATGAGAGGAAAAATGTGTTTGTGGTGTGACCTCAGTTGCCAGGGAACTTGTGCAGGAAGCCGGGAGAGATGGCACAGACCCACCTGTGCTCACAGTACATGTTAAGAATTCCCAAGTCTCAGGCAAACCATCTCCAAGGGTGTTCACAGAAGACACACCTTAAAGGCAAACGGGTTCATGATGTAATCTTCTATTGACTAGCTGTGAACCTCATTTTTCTTATCTGTGAAGTGGGAACAGTAATAATCCAAGTCTTTTTATGGAGTTATCAAGATCAAAAAAGGAATGGATATACAAAGTGTTTTGTGAAATAAAAGCTCCCTAAAATGGTAATTATTTTGTCCTCTGTTAGTGTCGGTAGTTATTGATATCTACATAGTACAGGTTATTTAAATATGTTTTATTCTGTAAAGATGGGCTGCCAAGTTTGTGTTCTGACCCTGTACGTGGTCCCTATGGTGTGATGAATGCCTGGGATCGCAGACTCCTGGATCTGTTCAGCTCCTGACTGGTCACAACCAGCCATGCTGGATGCATCATTCCCTCCCTGGGCCTCAGTGTGCCCTCCTGCCAGGTGGTCACACATAAGACCTGTGCCACCTCTGCCCAGGGTTCCTATGAGAATCAATCGAGTTGATGAATGCAACCATGGCCTGAGAAAGACAAGACGCTTTAGCTATCAGATGGGCAGAAACAAGTATGTGTTGGTAAGAATATGGATTAAAGGTTGGGAGGCCAAGATGGGTGGATCATGAGGTCAGAAGATTGAGACCACCCTGGATAACACGGTGAAACCCTGTCTCTACTAATAATACAAAAAATTAGCCGGGCATGGTGGCACGTGCCTGTAGTCCCAGCTACTCGGGAGGCTGAGGCAGGAGAATCACTTGGACCTGGGAGGTGGAGGTTGCAGTGAGCCAAGATTGCGCCACTGCACTCCAGCCTGGGTGACAGAGCGAGACTCCATCTCAAAAAAAACAAAACAAAAAAAATGTGGATTAAAGGAAACTTAGATATGCTGCCAGTGAGAAACTGTGCAAAGCAATTTGGAAATAACCAGTAAAACTAAAGCTAAACGCATCCTTTGACCTAGCAGTTTTCCTCCTAGTCTTGGGAGGAACTCTAGCACAGGGGCAAAAGGAAATGTACAAGAATGTTCACTGATGGCTTTGTTTGTATTTTTAAAAAGTTGAAAACAACCTAAATGATGATCAGCATAAGAACAAATAAATTGTGGTATTTTCCTAAAATTGAATATTACTCAACAGGTAAAAAAGAATGAACCAGAGCTATATGTATCAATATGGATAAATCTCAGAAACCTACTGTTGAGATGGAGGGTAGGGGAGTGAACTGCGGAAGGATACCACTTATGTCATATTTCTAACTAAATGTATACGTTGATACTTTATTGTTTATGGCTACACACACATCTGGGTAATAGAGGTATAAAAGCCTGCACAAGAATGCTGTCAATATCACAATCAGTCATAGGGAGTGCTCCTGGGAGGGCCGCGGAGAGGAGGGAACTAGGGATGCCACTGCAAGGGTAAGTAGGACGCTGGACTTCAACTTCAACTATACACATAACATTTCATTTATTTTTTTAAAATCCCCATCAAATGTAGAATGACAGGATTTTTCAGAGGTGGGTGATGTGTGCACAGATGTGGGCTATCTTCTCCACACTCCTCTGTATATTTGATATTCTTTGCAATAAAAGAGAACAAGCCACAATACAAATAGGAGGTTTTGTTTTTATTATTGCCTTAGCAAACTCAGGAAATAAAAACAAATCTGAAATTACAATGGGATTGCAGCATATGCTCTTTGAATTTATGCAAATTTAATTATATGCCTGAAGGGAGAGAGAGAGACAATTCAAAGGGTGGAAAGAGGTTAGCTGGTTGAGCCCTGCGGGAGGGTGCCCCGGGGTGAGGACACCTTGAGGAATGTTGTTCTGCTCTACACTCAGTGGATCCTGGTCCCTGCTCTCTACGGGAGGGGCAATTAAGGCGTGTTCAAGGTTCATCTGGACTCTAGACTTCTTCCTTACATGCTGACTTTTCAATCCAAGCCCTGCTCGAAAGCCAACTGTACTGCGCCTACAAGTGGAGCTCTGGACTGGAAGGCAAGCAGAGGGGAAGCCTTTGAAGATGGGAACCCAGTTTTGACAGGTATATTCGTTTTCTGTTGCTGCCATAATAAACTATCACAGATTTAATCCCTTAAAACAACACAGATTTTGTCTTGCATTTCTGGATGTCCAAAGCCCAAAATGCTTCTTACTGGGCTAGAATCAAGGTGTTGGCAGGACTGCTTTCTTTTTGGAGGTTCTCGGGGAAAATCTACTTTCTTGCTTTTTCCAGGTTTTGGAGGCTGCCCGCATTCTACCTTCAAAGCCAGCAATGGCCACACATCTTTCTCACCCATTGCTATGACGCTGACTCCCTGCCTCCCTCTTCCCAACCTTCTCCATCCTTTTTTTTTTTTTTTTTTTTTTTGAGACAGAGTTTCGCTCTTGTTGCCCAGGCTGGACTGCGATGGCACGATCTCGGCTTACTGCAAACTCCGCCCCCCGGGTTCAAGGGATTCTCCTGCCTCAGCCTCCCAAGTAGCTGGGATTACAGGTGCCCCTCATCACAAACCGCTAATTCTTTGTATTTTTTAGTAGAGATGGGGTTTCACCATGTTGGCCAGACTGGTCTCAAACTCCTGACCTCAGGTGATCCACCCGCCTCGGCCTCCCAAAGTGCTGGGATTACAGGCGTGAGACACCGTGCCCAACCTTCCCTATTCCATCTTTTAAGGGCCCTTGTGACAACATTGGGTCTACCCCGATAATCCAGATAATCTCCTTATTTTAACGTGTGCTCATTAGCAACCCTAATTCCACCTGCAACCTTAATTCCCCCTGGCCACGTGACATATTCACAGGTTCCAGGGATTAGAAGGTGGACATCTTGGAGAGCAGATGATTCTGCCTGCCATAGCAGGATATTCAGAATTGGAGGTTCTTAACTATTAGGTTGGTGCAATTGCATTTGCACCAACCTAATATGACCCTTCTCACTACTAGGCAAGACAGGCTATTTCCCATGTAAGTGCCATGAGGATGGAGTCCCTGTGTGGTGCATCCCTAGTGCCCGTCACGGTGCCTGGCACATAGCAGAAGGTCAACACACACTATACACAGACATATAATCTACAGACTCACAAACTCACAGATGTGTGACATGATACAGACACAAGCATAGTTACATGCACAACAAACAGATACACATGTAGATACACAAATACATGTATTCACAGATACAAGCAGACACACATTAAATGCAAAGTAATGAGATTGATGCAGGTCCTATTCCTTTATATTATAGTTCTGAAATTCTGAAATCAGCTTGTTCGTCATACTAGCATATCTTTGTTCTTTGGAAATAGCTAACTTATTGTTAATAAGGAGGTTAGGTAAAGTGCACATACTGTTTTGGCTTTAAAAACTAAATATTGTGAGACTGATTTTTTTTTTTTTTTTTTTTTTTTAGATGGAGTCTCCCTCTGTCGCCCAGGCTGGAGTGCAGTGGCACGATCTTGGCTCACCACAACCTCTGCCTCCTGGGTTCAAGAGATTCTCCTGCCTCAGCCTCCCGAGTAGCTGGGACTGCAGCCATGTGCCACCACGCCTGGCTAATTTTTGTATTTTTAGTAGAGACAGGGTTTCACCATATTGGCCAGGCTGGTCTCGAACTCCTGACCTCAGGTGATCCACCCGCCTCGGCCTCCCAAAGTGCTAGGATTACTGGCATAAGCCACCGTGCCTGGCCCGGGACTGATTTTTTTTTGTTTAGCTCGTAAACTGACTCTTTGAGTGATTCCTAAAGAAGCAACTACTAATGCTTTGGAACATTTGTGAAGTAATTACATGTTCGTGTCAGCCTCTACCTCTCTGAAGCAGGGTACACCCCTGGGTGGTCAGTACTGGACACCTGTTCTGATCCACTTAAAATCCTCTGACTCTGTTCTATGACCAGTTCTGAACAGGTGAGCAACTTTACACAGGTGTAACCTGACAAAGCCTCCCTACAGGTGCACACCCTGTACCTCCCACTTCCTGTCCTCGGGGGCCTCTGTGGCCGCCTCCTTGGCACTTGCCCATATGGAAAGCTGGACATTTGGGGAGTTAATGCCTGTAGGGTCTCCCTTGACTAATTGAGAGGTGGGAGGCAGAGACAGTGAATAAATGTTTTTCCCTTTTATTCTCCAGGTGGAGGATTTGTAACTCTTCTACTGCCCCACATTGTGTAATCCACAGGAGCTTTGATCTCCTTGACATTCCACAGAATCCTGCTCCCATTGCGTGCTGCATTGTGCTAATCAGACCTACAGGGCAGCAGCTGCAAGCGCTCCAGAGGCCCTAGTGGCGCACGAGCACGTGATGTGGGCAAGGAGGCCTCATGAGGATTCTGGGCCTGCCACGCTGAGGATGTTTACAGTGGTGCAGTGTCTGAGGCATTCTGAAGCATCTCATTCCAAATAAAGGGCAGGTTATTGCACTTTACTCCCTATCACTAAGAAAGAGGCACGGGCCCAGCGGACCTCTCTGGATTTTGGAGGCAGCATATATACCACACTAAGGAGTGGTCCTCTAACCCATTTGTCAGTGCCTTGGAAAGCTGCCAGTGTTTTGTTTTGTTTTGTTTTCAGACAGGGTCTCACTCTGTTGCCCAGGCTGGAGTGCCATGGTGTAGACCCGGCTCACAGCAGCCTCGACCTCCTGGGCTCAAGTAATCCTCCTGCCTCAGCCTTCTGAGCAGCTGCAACCACAGGACACCACCACACCTGGCTGATATTTTTTGTAGAAACAGGGTCTTGCCATGTTGCCCAGGCTGGTCTTAAACTCCCGGGCTCCAGTGATCCTCCCTCCTCAGCTTCCCAAAGTGTTGGGGTTACAGGCATGAGCCACCATGCCTGGCCAACCTGCCAGTTTTGAGTGGGGCCTAGAGCAAGGAAGGGCTCTGTAGCAGATCTAGGCTTCAGTACAAACTGCTCTGCCACTCACACCTTGTAAGACCCAGTAGAGCTAGAGGCATCCATGGTCCATAAGGTTGGCTATTTCAAATGCACAACTCACGAAAAATTAAAATAAACTTTATATGTCATTCCCCACTTTGAAATGTACCCAATAAGGATCACCTTTCTTGCCCCAGATGAAAGTTCCAGCAACTTTTCTGCTCACTCTGTCTGCTTTTCTGCAGACAGTCCTCCGCCATACTAAGCATAATTTATTAATTAGAAGCTCCAGTCTAAGACTCAAAGTCCCAGGTTTTATTCAATGTTCAAATCTTCCCCACTCCCTAGCTTGGGCCTGCAGCAGGCTAGTGGCCTGCAGTGGGGCAGGGAGAACCCACTGTCTCTTCTCTATTTCTCCCCTTGCCCATCTCCTCCTCCTCCCTTATTCCCTTCCTCCCTCCCAAGCTGTCTGGCCAGTTTCTGACCCCTCCCAAGGATGGAGCAGGAGGTGAGAGCAGTGGCGAGGGTGCAGGAATGGCCTCATGACATTGACCTGTTGGGATTCTGAGCTGGCTTTGGGTGCACTGGAGTTGGCACATATAAAGCTGATCCTTTCTTTCATAGGTACCTTTGTGAGTTCTTCTGAGGCTTCTATGTTCAGGAACCTCTTTCCTGTATGTCCCAGGAGACTGCCTCTCACTTCTAGCATCTTGCTGGTACATCCCGGCATCCTCCACGTGGCGCTACTGGACAGAACCCAGGACAGTCCAGCGCTGGCTTTGGGAAGCCCTTGACATCCCATTTTCTGTCCCTTGCCCAGAGACATACAGGATATACAGACTTAGCCCAGAACAACCACTTCTTCACATGGTTCCATGGAGGTCTCCTTCTCACAGGGCTCAAGAAGAGGAGGCAGCAGCCCCTCCCTCCTGCCTGAAGGAAGTCAGAGACTCAGCAACGCAAGGTTCTCTCGAAGAAATTGCTCTAAAAATGTCCCCCCGACCTTTGTGCTTGGAGCCCTTCTTATCTCCTCAAACTGCAGAAGGGTCCAATCATTATGTAAAAAGTTCTTTAAAATGTGTACAGTCTGCAAGTGGTGATCCGGCTTCACATCTAAGCCTTGGTGTCTCCATCAATACTTTAATTCTTGGCCGGGCACTGTGGCTCACGCCTGTAATTCCAACACTTTGGGAGGCTGAGGTGGGTGGATTCTTTGAGGTCAGGAGTTCGAGACCAGCCTGGCCAACGTGGTGAAACCCTGCCTGTACAAAAAATACAAAAATTAGCCGGGCATAGTGGCAGGTGCCTATAGTCCCAGCTACTGGGGAGGCTGAGGCTAAGGCAGGAGAATCACTTGAACCCAGGGAGTGGAGGTTGCAGCGAGCCGAGATCGTGCCACGGAACTCCAGCCTGAGCCACAGAGCGAGACTCTATCTCAACAAACAAACAAACAAAAGCCACAACACTTTAATTCTAATATCCTGATACATTGTTTTCTAGGCTAAAAGGTAGATGATGATTATAAAGGTTTATGGACTCATATTACCTGGCTGTGAAAAAGAAACTGCATAATTGCAGCTAAGAGGATGGCTTCCTTGGGAACTAAGGGACAGGTACTAGTTTTTATTGAGTACCAACCATATGCTGAGTTCTTGTGAGGCGAGTCTTATATTAATATTTACTGTCGAAGAAACTGAGGCTTAGATAAGAGACTTGTCCAACATCACACAGCTGGCACCACTGGACTTCACCGAAAGTAACTGAGCTCTTTCCAGGCTGGAAAGCAAATATAGACCCAACAAAATCCCTGCCTTCAGGGAGGGCACAGTCTCTCGGGGAGGAAGACCGGTCCCTGTGGTCAGTGCTGGACTGGGGCAGGTCTGGGGCGACAAGAGACTTCTACCTAAGCTCGGGTAAATTTCCTTCTAAGGTGAAATAAAGCCCCACTCCAGCTGGGTGTACCTCGGGGTTTGGTGACCATCTTATTCTGTTCCCCCAAGGGTCACTCTCATGCATGTCAACATTTTTGTCTTTTGATGGCAGTCCTGGCCTCCCCCACCCCAATCCCAGTGGTCAGTTCAACAATGCGTGAACCACTTTCTTCTTGGCCATTTCATAGTTGCCTCTTTCAGGTGACCAAGAGGCCATCCCTGTAGTGGTGGCTTCATCCAAAGGGAGCCTCTTTTTTTTTTTTTTTTTTTTTTGAGACAGGGTCTCACTCCGTTGCCCAGGCTGGAGTGCGGTGGTGCCATCTCGGCTCACTGCAACCTCCACCTCCTGGGTTCAAGCGATTCTCCTGCCTCAACCTCCCCAGTAGCTGGGACTACAGGCGCTCACTGCTGCGCCTGGCTAAATTTTTGTATTTTTAGTAGAGACGGAGTTTTTGCCATGTTGGCCAGGCTGGTCTCGAACTCCTGACCTCAAGTGACCTGCCTGCCTTGGCCTCCCAGAGTGCTGGGATTATAGGTGTGAGCCACCGTGCCCAGCCACAGGGAGGCTTTTCTAATTGGTGCCGTTACACTCAATCCCAGCTTGACTGCCCTTCCTGAAAGAAGAAATCCTGAAAAGCTAGTCACAGGCTTTGCAGATTCAGCTCCCCGCCAGCCCCCAAATCCTTCCCTTCTAGCCCTATTCACTGCAGTATTTATAGCCCAAATGTGAAACGTATAATTATTCTCCTTCTCTGCCTTTCTTTTCTTGAAATAAAGACTTAGTCCACCCTTCTATTTGCATAACACCACCTGAGAAGAAATCTCCTTGGGGCCCAGGGACTTGAGCGTCTGAACTCCCTGACTTCATACAGAGTTACTGAAAAAGCTCTGTTCCTCTTTGAAGGCACAGAAGAAACCAGAAGAGACTTCCCTCAAATGCATTCCCTTCAAGCAGCTGAAACCTTTGCATTTCTAAAGCGGCCTCTAGCCCAGGCTCCAGAGACACCCCTTCCCTCATTAGAAAGGAAGGGAACTGTGAGGGGAGTCCAAGGTCACAGTTCCTGGTGCTCATGAAACAAGCAGGAGTGAAACATTCAGCTTCTTAGGGAAGGGCTTTTTGGGTCGGTGCCTGGTCAAGTGGGCCAGACCCTGCTCTGCTTCAGGTGGGTGGGAGGGTCGGTGGCCCCTGCAGCTGAACCCCATCCCTGACTGGGCTCCTGCACAAGGAGCAGACGATCCACGTGGGGCCTTAGAGTTTCTACCCCTCCCACACACAGGACTTGCAGTTCTTTCATTCGGATTTGCCAAAAGGGGGATTTTCTTTCCTCATAAACTGACAGATAAACAATGAGAGTTACTAAATTAGTTACATAAATAGAAAAGCTGTTCACAAGTATAACACAGAGGTGTGGATTTCATTTTGCAGCCAATTCCTCCTTACTAGGAAATTTATACTAGAAGTCTAGCCAGGCAGGGGTGGCTAAACTAAGAGAAGTCATTCGTATTTACCTTCATTTTTAAAATCTAAACATTTACTTGAAAAGCCCAGAAGTGTTTTTAAAAATGACCTTTGGAAAGAAAAGCCACAGACTGGAAGAAAATATTTGTAAAACACATATCTGATAAAGGTCTTATAACTAAAATATACAAAGAACTCTTACAACTCAACAATAAGAAAGCAAACAAACCAATTAAAACATGGGCAGAAGATCCGCACTGACACCTCGAAGATACGCAAATGGCAAATAAGCACATGAAAAGATGCTCAACATCATATGCCATTAGGGAATTATAAATTAAAACAATGAGCTACCTGCACACACCTATTAGAGTGGCTGAAATCCAAAACACGGAGAACACCAAATGCTGGCGAGGATGTGGAGCAAAAGGAACTCTCATTCACTGCTGGTGCAAACGCAGAATTGGTGCAACCACTTTGGAAGACGGTTTGGCAATTTCTCATGAAGCCAAACTTACTCTTACCATGTAATCCAGCAAGCACATGTCTTGGTATTGACCCAGATGAATTGAAAACTTATGTCCACACGAAAGTTGATAGCAGCTTTTTTCATAATCACCCCAAATTGGAAGAAACCAAGATGTCTTTCAATAGGTGAATGGATAAACTATGATATATTCAAAAGGTGGAATATTATTTAGCGATGAAAAGAAATGAGCTGTCAATCCATGAAAAGACAGGGAGGAACCTTAAATGTATTTTGCTAAGTGAAGGAAGCCAGTCTGCAAAAGCGACATACTGCATGATTCCAACTATGTAACATTCTGGAGAAGGTAAAGGAGGGAGATCATCAAAAGATCTACGGTTGCCAGGGCTGCAGGGAGGAGAGAGGGAGAAACGGTGCAGCACAAGGAATTACGAGGGTGGTGAAACGTTGCCCTATGATACTGTTAATGATAGATACACGATATTATGCATCTGTCAAAACCCATAGAACTATACAACCAAAGAATGAACCTTAAACTGTAGACTTTTTTAAATAACAATGTATCTTTTTGGTTTATCAATTGTAATAAGTGTACTACACTAATGCAAGTTATTAACAATAGGGGAAACTGTCAGGGAGGCGGTACACAGGGTGAGGCAGTGTGGAGAAGAGGGAATATATAGAAACTGTACCTATACTCAACTTTTCTGTGAAACTAAAAATTAAAATCTATTGGCCAGGCACAGCGGCTCACGCCTGTATCCCAGCACCCTGGGAGGCCAAGGACAGTGGATCACTGGAGGTCAGGAGTTTGAGAGCAGCCTGGCCAACATGACAATACCCCATCTCTATCAAAAATACAAAAATTAGGCATGGTGGTGGGAGCCTGTGGTCCCAGCTATTTGGGTATCTGAAGCACGAGAATCACTTGAATCTGGGAGATGGAGGTTGCAGTGAGCCGAGATCGTGCCACCGCACTTTAGCCTGGGTGACAGAGTGAGACTCTGCCTCAATAAATAAATAAATAAAGTCTACTAATTTTTTTAAAGGCCTATGACCCCATTTCTTCTTTTTAATCACATAAAACAAGGTGGAGACGCCTTTTGGGGGTGAGTAGCCTGCCACTGGCGCTCCAGGGCTGGGGTTGCACTCCTGAGGCTCTACTGTCCTGGGGTCTCAAGAGTGGCCCCGCTGCCAGGACTCCACTAGGCACTGCCCTGGTGGGGACTCTCCACAGCAGCCCCTTCCCTGTGCCATTTCTTTGCCTGGGCCCTGAGGCTCTCTGAGGCATCCCTTGAAATCCAGGTGGAGGTAGCCCTGCCTCTGCAGCTCGTCACTGCATGCCTGTGGAGTTAGCACCACATGTAAGCCACCAAGGTTCACCACTTGTGTCCTCTGGAGTGGTGGCTTCAGCTGCACCTGGGCCCACCTGAGCAACAGCTGGGGCTACCAAGGAGCACCATGCCAGAATACAGTTAGCAGAGACTTGAGGAGGCCCTGGACCGGGATCCCCGGGACCCCAAGTTCCACAGGGGCCCTGGGCCCCTCCCTTGAAATTATTTTGCCCTCAATGCCCTGACTGTGATGGGTAGGGCAGTCTCTGAGATCTCAGAAATGCTTTCAGGGTTATTCTTCCATCATCTTGGTGAACAGCATCCAGCTTCCTTCAGTCTATACTAACCTGTTTATCAACAGATTAACAGATTTACTAATCTGTGGTCACTTGGCCACACCCTTGGCTTTCTCTCCTAACATGCTTTTTTATTCTTTACATGGCCATGCTGAGAATTTTCCAAATCATTCTGCTTCCCTTTTAATTAAAAATTCCGTCTCTAAGCCGGGTGCGGTGGCACACGCCTGTAATCCCAGCACTTTGGGAGGCCGAGGCGGGCAGATCACAAGGTCAGGAGTTGGAGACCAGCCTGGCCAATATGGTGAAACCCCGTCTCTACTGAAAATACAAAAATTAGCCGGGCATGGTGGCGCGCACCTGTAGTCCCAGCTACTCAGGAGGCTGAGGCAAAATAATCACTTGAACCCGGGAGGCAGAGGTTGCAGTGAGCCAAGATCGTGCCACTACACTCCAGCCTGGACAACAGAGGGAAATTCCATCAAAAAAAAATCCATCTTTAAATTATTTCTCTTCTCACATGTTACCATGAGCAGTTAAGAGAAGCCATCCACACCCTGAACACTTTGCTTTGGTATTTCTTCTGCTAAATATGCCAGTTCATTGATCTTAAATTCTGCTTTCCACAAAGCAGTAGGATACAGATACAATTCAGACGAGTTTTTGCTGCTTTATAACAAGGATAGCCTTTCCTCCAACTTCTGATAAGACATTCCTCGTTTTCATCTAAGACTTCATCAGATTGGCTTTTTCTAGAATACCAGCCTTCTGTTCACAACCATTTAGATAATCCCTAACACTGAGGCTGTCTCTACAACTTTCCTCTTCACAGCCCTCATTGGAATCTCCTTTAACATTCTGGTCATGACAATACAGGCTTTTTCCAGCATATGCTTCAAAACTATTCCATCCTCTACCCCTTACCCAGTTCCAAAGCCACTTCCATATTTCAAGATACTGGTTATAGCAGCAGGCCTACTTCTCTGGTACCAATTTCTTAGTCTGTTTGTACCTCTGCAACAGAATACTACAGACTTCATAATTTATAAAGAACAGAAATTTATTTCTCACATTTCTGGAGGATGGAAAGTCTAAGATCAAGGTGCTGGCAGGTTCAGTGTCTAGTGAGGCCCTGTCTCTGCTTCCAAGATGGCGGCAGTTTCAGTGTCTGGTGAGGGCCCTGTCTCTGCTTCCAAGATGGCGCTTTGTTGCTCTGTCCACCAGAGGAGAGAAACGCTGTGTCCTCACATGGTGGAAGGGACAGAGCTGGTGGAAGGGGGGCAAACTCCCTCTATCACACCCTTCTATGAGAGCATTTAATCCCATTCATGAGGGCAGAGCTCTCATGCCTCAACCATCTCCTAAAGGCCACAGTTCTTAATACTGTTGCATTGGGATTAAATTTCAACATGAATTTCGGAGAGGACAAAAACATTCAAATCGGAGAAGTAGACATTCCAGTCCATTCTATTCCCTCATTTCACATACCTCCCAACAAGGTAACCCTCATTTATGATTTAGTGTGCACACTTCTTTACACTTCTTTGTTTTTTCCCTTAATTTTCTACAAATATATTTAGATAGACACACACACACACACACGGCATCACACATTTAAAAGAAATAAAGATGAAATCATGTTTTACATCTTAGTTTGCGACTTACTCATTTCACTTAGATTATGAACCTTTATCCAGGCTATTTGTGTAGATCTAAACCTTTTAAAAACCAGGGCAACGTAGCAAAACCCTGTCTCTATTTTTTAAAAAAAGAAAACCAGGGCTGCTTACATCCTATGTGCACTAACAATGGTCATTAGGCAGGGTTTGATTGCTAAAGAAGATTCAAAGAGTTCAAGTTGACAGTGCTTACAAAGCTACTGCTTATTGCAGCAAACCATTCATTTAATGCAACAGCAGTTAAGTAAGACATCAAGGGATCCAGAGAGGGCAGGTGCAAGCTCCAATTGTTCCACCTCTGGAAGAGCCACGCAAGACATACCTTCTCTCTAGAGTCACCTGTGTGTCACAGAACACCTCAGAACTGGGAAGCCCAAGCTGGAGTTTCCAGCAGGGTGTCATATACCCCTCTGCTCATGTAGGCATGTTTCTTGCTGTGTCACCAGCCCCAAAAGCACAGTCCTCCAGGGGTCTCACCAAGACCAGGAACAAATCATCAATCTCACTGTTATCAATACACAATGCTGAACAAAGTAAAAATAAAAATAAACACTGCTGATAAGCCAGTACAAACCACGTTGAAATCCCTCAGACTCATGGTTACAAAACAGCACTGTTAATGAGTATCTTTAATGCCTTGACCAGGGCTCAGTGCTGTGCAGGAATAGCTCTTATTTCGGTAAATCAGCCTATGTCAATTCCAGGCCTGCTGGAGTTAACCCTTGCAACAACCATGGTTGTTTTATATATATAAAACAAACAAAAGCTGCCACAATAGAGGTCTGAGAAGGAAGCTCTATGTTACTTCATTCTCACACTGCTGTAAAGATACTACCCGAGACTGGGTAATTTATGAAGAAAGAGGTTTAACTGACCCACAGTTCCGCATGGCTTGGGAGGCCTCAGGAAACTTACAATCATGGCAGAAGGTGAAGGGGAAGCAAAGCACCTTCTTCACAAGGCAGCAGGAGAGAGAAGCATGAAGGAGGAACTTCCAAACACTTATAAAACCATGAGATCTCGTGAGAACTCACTCTCTATCACGAGAACAGCATGGGGGAAATCAACCCCATGATCCAATCATCTCTTTCCCTTGACATGTAGGGATCACATTTTGAGATGAGATTTGGGTGGGACACAAAGCCAAACCATATCATGCTCCAACTTCATGATGAATTCTGATGGGTCAGCGTGAATGCCTGGGAGTGCCAAGTCTCGAGAAGACCTCACCTCTGAATATTACCTCTCTGCTGAGCACCCAGATGTCCCTCTCTGCTAAAAAGACCTCTTTCCTTTCCTACCACTCACCCCAACTTGGCTAGGCTTAAGCATGATTGACAGACAGAGGTTAAGAAACACCATCTGAGGCCAGGCGCGGCGGCTCACACCTGTAATCCCAGCACTTTGGGAGGCCGAGGCAGGTGGATCACCTGAGGTCAGGAGTTCGATACTAGCCTGGCCAACATGGTGAAACCCTGTCTCTACAAAAAATACAAAATTAGCCAGGCGTGGTGGCACGCACCTGTTATCTCAGCTACTTAGGAGGCTGAGGCAGGAGAATCACTTGAACCCAGGAGGCAGGGGTTGCAGTGAACTGAGATTGCACCATTGCATTCCAGCCTGGGCAACAAGAGTGAAACTCTATCTAGAGGAAAGAAAAAGAAAGAAAGAAAGAAAGAAAGAAAGAAAGAAAGAAAGAAAGAAAGAAAGAAAGAAAGAAAGAAAGAAAGAAAGAAAGAGAGAGAGAGAAAGAGAGAGAAAGAGAAAGGAGGAAAGGAAGAAAGAAAGAAGGAAGGAAGGAAGGAATGAAGGAAGAAAAAGAAAGAGAGAGAAAGGAGGAAAGGAAGAAAGAAACAAAGAGGAAAGAAGGAAGAAAGAAAGATAGGAAGGAGAGAAAGAAAGAAAAAAGAAAGAAAAAAGAAAGGAAGGTAGGAAGGAAGGAAGGAAAGAAAGAAAAAGAAAAGAAAAGAAAGAAAGAAAGAAAGAAAGAAAGACCATCTGAGCTGTGAATGTGACCACAACACATTTAAGAGGGTGGGGACAACCCTCACTGGAATTATCTCATGTGTGCAACTGGGATGCAGAGTGGGGTTGGGTAGGAAGCCTGCCAAACTGCCTATGGGAGCCAATAATGGTCACCCGAATAGGACACAATGCTGCCAATGGACTATATGTGTAGTTTCATATGTGTAAAATACATACAACCTTCAATGCATGTTGTTGGTTTTTGCTATAACTCTTGAGAGACTGGAAAAACATCATCTGTCATCATAGGATTTAACCCTTGCTTAAGATCCGGCGGCAGCTTCTGGTGGGCTTCCCTAGTGCGGCGTCCCTGCCCCGTCTTGCTCTGGCCCCTCTCATTCTCTGCTCCAGCCAGACTGAACAGCTCTTACTTCCTTCTAAACGCTTCCAACATTTTAATCTTGGCTCTACCTTGGAATGCCCAGGGTTATGTGACTTGCCCAAGGACAAAATAAGGATGTAGTGGAGTTGATATTCAAAGCCGGATTTATCTCACTCCAAAGCAAGGACAAAGAATTCCCTTAGGAAATCAGCGGTGGCCCATCTATTTGTGTGGAGAAACAAGAGTTGCTTATAATTCTGGGTAGTGGGATGTCCCCATCGCTTCACCTAGTCAACACCTGTGTCTCATTTAAAACTCAATTCAGGCATCGCTGCACTTTCAGTGGGTTGTTTTTTTTTTTTAGGTTTGAAGCTCATTTAACAACGAGCAAAGGGGTTGCAGAGTAAGAACGCTGATGTTTTTCTCTGGGAATAGGTGGCCACATCCAAAGACAAAGAAATGTTCGAAGTCTTTGCATTTGGAGAGAAAACACCATGCCCATTGCTGCAGCCTGAATTCCCAATGAGTAGTGCCTCTGTCTGGAGTTAAAGGATGATGTACCATGTGGAACCAGGATGTGGTAACTCCTTAAACCCTGCCACTCTTTCACACCTTTGATATGACTCATTTTGATGAAATTCAACGAACTCAGAGCACCTGCTCATGCAGCAGAATATTTTTGAGCTAGAAAGCTCCACGACTTCCTCTCCCTAAGACTGCAGAAAGCTTAGCCCCAGGCTATGAAGAGAGCCAGCAGAATGACCACTGGCACCAGAGGACACTGGTCTTGCCCGCCCACCCTTCGCTGTGCCGGCTCCTCACCCCTGTGCTGGGTGCAGTAGAGGCTGGTCCTCCAAGTCTCACTTGGGACTTGCCCAAGTGAGAGACACTAGGGCAAAAAATATAGCCATATATGCATGCAGATATATACCAGCAGAATGACCACTGGCACCAGAGGACACTGGTCTTGCCCGCCCACCCTTCGCTGTGCCGGCTCCTCACCCCTGTGCTGGGTGCAGTAGAGGCTGGTCCTCCAAGTCTCACTTGGGACTTGCCCAAGTGAGAGACACTAGGGCAAAAAATATAGCCATATATGCATGCAGATATATATCAGCAGAATGACCACTGGCACCAGAGGACACTGGTCTTGCCCGCCCACCCTTCGCTGTGCCGGCTCCTCACCCCTGTGCTGGGTGCAGTAGAGGCTGGTCCTCCAAGTCTCACTTGGGACTTGCCCAAGTGAGAGACACTAGGGCAAAAAATATAGCCATATATGCATGCAGATATATATGGCTATACTTTTTTTTGCTGTTGGGTTTTTGTTGTTGTTGTTGTTGTTGTTTTGAGACAGTCTTGCTCTGTCACCCAGGCTGGAGTGCAATGGCGCGATCTTGGCTCACTGCAACCTCCACCTCCCAGGTTCAAGCGATTCTCCTGCCTCAGCCTCCTGAGTAGCTGGGATTACAGGCGTGCACCACCATGCCCGGCTAATTTTTTGTATCTTTAGTAGAGACAGGGTTTCACTATGTTGGCCAGGCTGCTCTCAAACTCCTGACCTCATGATCTGCCCACCTCGGCCTTCCAAAGTGCTGGGATTACAGGCGTGAGCTACTGCGTCCAGCCTGCTGGCAGACCACCAATTCGTATATACTGACTGATGTCAGTTTCAGGAAATCAAAAAAAGTATATGTATATGTATATGTATATGTATATGTATATGTATATGTATATGTATATGTATATGTATATGTATAATCTAAATTTCCATCCATTTCTACATCTGTCCAGAAGGATATTCATTAAAATATTAACAGCAGTTCTCTCTGGATGGCAGGATTATAATTATTTGACTCACATATTTCCAGACCTCCCAAATTTTCCAAAGTTCCTGTGCATTAGCTACATGAGCTGAAGAACAAGCCCAAAGCCCATTCTTTTTTAAATAGCTGAGACTCCAAGTCTAGGGGATGCTCCGAGTGACGGACAAAGCCCTTCCTTCGAGGATGATTCTAGGAAGATCCTGGGGCGTCAGCCTTCTCTGGGCAGCGTCTTTGCTGCCCTCTGCTGGTCATTTGGAAGCTCGGCAAGTCCAAGTCCAGCCCCTTTCTTGTGGAGCAGTTTCTTCTTTAGGTTTGCCCTCTGAGGCCCAATTTCTTAGAACTGTTTTCGTTTTGTTTCATTTTTCTGAGATAGAGAATCCTTTTAAACTTAAAAAAAAAAGAAAAGGGCCGGGCGCGGTGGCTCACGCCTGTAATCCCAGCACTTTGGGAGGCCGAGGCGGGCGTATCACAAGGTCAGGAGATGGAGACCATCCTGACTAACACGGTGAAACCCCGTCTCTACTAAAAATACCAAAAATTAGCCGGGCTTGGTGGCGGGCGCCTATAGTCCCAGCTACCCGGGAGGCTGAGGCAGGAGAATGGCGAGAACCCGGGAGGCGGAGCTTGCAGTGAGCCGAGATCCCGCCACTGCACTCCAGCCTGGGCGACAGAGGGAGACTCCGTCTCAAAATAAATAAATAAACAAACAAACTAACTAAAAAAAAGTTTAAAAGAAAACTTCTAAATGAGGTGGCTCCAGTGTAAGCCTCTTTAAAGCTCTGATGGAAAAGTCATTCTTTTAAAAACCCAAACCACTCAGCCTCCATTTCACAGCCAGAGAGAGCTGCAGTGTCATTGCTGGAGGGGACCCAGGGCGCGTTCACCTGCTGATTTCTCACTGTTGATTGAGGATCAGTCTTTGGTTTTGGTCAGCGTCATTACTGCCAAAGCCACCAGCACACCTGCCAAGATGCAAAGGATGGTGTTTCTCACGGAGTCAGAGGAGGCCGTCTGCTCCGTGCCCTTACAGAATGCCAAGAAGTCATGGCTGGTGCTGGAGCCCTCAACCCCAGAACACCTTAAGACTGTGTGGCTTTAACAATTTACACCACCTCTCTGTTCCTTCATCTGCAGCATGGAATTGTAACCATGCCTTCCTAGATTTAAACTCCAGTTCCACCATGTACCAGCTGATAATCTTGGACATGTTACCGACACCTCTGTGCCTCAGTTTCTTCATCTGTAAAATGTGGGGGGGAAGTAATTCATAGGGCTATGAGTATGGAATTAATTAATAATTGTGAATAATTAGAAAAGTGCCTGGAGCATAAATAGTTCTCGGTAAATGTTTATTATTATTGTTACTGTTACCAGTTACCAAAGCATATTATTAGTTAAATGTCATTCTATGAATGCATACAGTTTGGAGTAAGGGATTTATTATCTGATAAGCCTTTTGTATTAGGAACCATCCTAGGTTCTATTTATTTAATACTCTCTGCAACCCTTCAAGGAAGATATTCTTTTCCTCATTTTACAAATGAGGAAACTAAAATGCAAAGATATTAAATAACTTGCCCAAGATCACACAGCCAGGAAATATGGAGCCAGGGTTTGATCCCATTATTTGCCTCAGAGCCTCTGTTCTTTCCTGTCCATTTGGTTGAATGCTACCCACTAAAGTTAGGTTGGTTGTTAGTCTTTTTTTTCCAGACAGAGTCTCACTATGTTGTCCAGGCTGGTCACACACTCCTAGGCTCAAGTGATCCTCCCACCTCAGCCTCCCAAGTAGCTGGGAATACAGGCACATGTCACCGCTTTTACTAATTTTTTTTTCTGGCATACTTTATCTCCCACTCCTACTTGGTTATAAGTTAGGGTAATACCAATTGCTGTAACAGATAAACTCCAAATCTCCATGGCTTTACAACAAACTTTATTTCTCATGCATGCAATAACTCCCCATTGGTGGACAGGTCTTCCATGTGGTGATTCAGGGATCCAGGCTCTTTGGTCTTGTGGTTCTACTTTCCTCTGGGACATTGGAGTCTTCTGCATTTAGCTAGTGAATGAGCAAAGAATATGGGCCAGGCCTGGAAGTGGTGCTTCTCAACTGTCCACATTACATTAACTTAAAACTCAGTGGCGTAGTCACACCTCACTGCAAAGGAGGCTAGGAAATGTAGTCTTGTTCTGTGTCCAGGAGGCAGAGGAAACATGAGAGCTAGTCTGCCATGCCGGCCTATGTCTTATAGAGCCTTGCTGTCTTAATTTAAATTTTAGTTCCTCTGGGAAGAGATCCTGACTCCCTCAGGTCTGGATTGGACACCCCTCCTCTGTACTTCTTCCCTTCCTCTCTTGTGGCATTTATTGCATGGAAATACACACACAGACACACACACACACACACACACACACACACATATATATATATATATATATTTGAGACAGGGTCTCACTCTGTCATTGAGGCTGGAGTGCAGTGGCACAGTCATGGCTCACTGCAGCCTCAACCTCCTAGGCTCAAGCGACCCTCATATCTCAGCCTCCCAAGTAGCTGGGACTACAGGCATGCACTACCATGCCCAGCTAATTTTTGTATTTTTTTTTGTAGAGATGTGGTTTCACCACGTTGCCCAGGCTGGTCTCGAACTCCTGAGTTCAGGCAATCCTCCCACCTCGGGCTCCCAAAGTGCTGGGATTACAGGTGTGCACCATCACGCCCGGCTGGAATTATAATTGCTTATGCATCTGTCTCCCTCATTAGACCGTGGGATCTAGGGCAGGGGCTCCATCAGTTTTGTCACTGATGAATTCCCAGCTGTGACATGGAGCCTGGCACAAGCCAGTGTTAAATAGTTGTTCGATGGATGATGTCTGGGATAATGACTGAGGGGGCAGAGGAAGTGGTTGCGATTGGTCTCTTGGGCTCCCCCCAGAGTGGTGTGCTCCCCTCCTCCGCTTTCAGTCAGTTTCAGAACCATGGGACAGCTTGTCCGGGAACAGGGCTGGAAAACCCTCTGAGGTTGAGGTTGGGGCCTCTGTTCTTTAAGAGTGGAACTGAGACGTTGCGTGTGGTCACAGGTTGTCTGCACCTCTGCACCTGGCACCAAGGAGGACCCCACACAGACGTTCCCTCCATCAGTGAATTCCAGCACATGTACCCTACAGAGCCCGGCTTTGAACTTAGGCAACATAAACCACCACCATAAGGATAAAGCAATAGATTGCACTTACTTATTTACGATTTAAGTCTTGTTCACTCCCCAAAATTTTTGCAGTAGCTTACAAAGTGAACACAATGAGAAAGAAGCTTGAATAGAAGAGAAAAACCGGTCAAAGTGATATTAGATCACTGAAAATCTGATGGCTCCAGGAATAACAAGATAAGTGGTGTTTAATTTTTATTCTTTGTTTCTAAGTCTTTATTTTGGGACAAGTTTTAGTTTTTTATAGCTGACCTCTTTTTGTCCTCCTTTCCCCCCTCAATGCCTCTGGGTAGCTGGTATTTGCAAGTCTTGGCATATAACAGATCAGGACTGGGGAGGGGCCTGTGGTCAAGTCTTGGCCTCTCTTTTTGGGGTTCCAAGCACCTCTTCAGACCCAACCCCTCAAGCTCATCTATCGCTCCTTTTCCCTGACTACAGCTCCCTCTCCACAGCCTGATATTAAGATGACGGTTGGCCAGGCACAGTGGCTGACACCTGTAATCCCAGCATTTTGGGTCACTGAGGTGGGAGGATTGCTTGAGGCCTGGAGTTTGAGACCAGCCCAGACAACACAGCAAGACTCGCCCCCTCCCCATCTCTATCAAAAAATAAAAATAAAAATTAGCAAGGCGTGGTGGTGCAAACTTGTGGTCCCAGTTACTCTGGAGACGGAGGCAGGAGAATCACTTGAGCCCGGGAACTTGAGGCTGCAGTGAGCTGTGATTGCACCACTGCACTTCAGCTTGGGTGACAGAGTGAGACTCTGTCTCAAAAAAAAAGAAAGAAAGAAAGATGAAGGTAGTGTTCATGAACAAAACCATAGTCCTTACATACTGTGTATGAGAAACCTCATTTAACAAGACAAGGGGATGGTACAGCATGGTGGTAGGGCAAGAAATCCCAGCCTGGCACCTCCTGGCTGGCGATCTTGGCAAGTCACTTCATGGCTCTGAGCCTCCATTGACTCATCTATGAAATAAGATCATGGGACCCAGATGATCTGAAAATGCCCTCAGAGGGGCAACATATTACATCAGGTGGACTTGAAGGAGGACAAGTGAATCAGTCTGCTGCTCTCATTAGCAGCTTGGCGGTGGGGAGGGTCGCTAAGCCTGCGGGGAGAGGGAGGAAAGAGGGATGGCACCTGTGGGGGCACCTGACTTGGGGCTCTTTGTGGAGAGGAGTCTAGGGCATGTGTCATCTCATCATGTTCTGGGGGTAGCTGAGTTTAGGGGAGGGGAGCCACCGTTTCTCCCAGGGACCTCTCCCCTCTTTATGCATGTTGATTACAGGGACCCTACAGATTGACTTTGGAATGGGAGAGTGGGAGTCTTGTCTCTGGGCTCGCGCCCCTGGAGAAAGGGAGGGTAAGGTGCAGCTTGGGGCCTGGGCTGAAGTAAGCCTGGCCTGTGCCCCTAATGAGGCAGGGAATCTGAGGGAGGACGGAGGTATCTGTAGGCTGAGGTGCACCAGGCCTCAGCGAGATTTATATTCTAGAAACTTCTCTGGCCCCCACACAGGCCAATTCTGTGCTGATTCATAAAAGAGAAGAAGAAGAAGGAAAAAAAAAACACTCTAGGTTCCAAAGGAGCAAATTTGTGTGAGTTTTACAAAGTCAACCTGAGCTGGAGAAGGGGTTTCCCCCAAACTCTCCCTGCACACCCAGCAATTCACTAAGAGCCTGGGAGTGTGCTGGGAGGTGGGCTGGGAGGAGGCGGGGATGGAGAGTGGGGAGGGGGACTGGGGAGGGTGCTTGTCTTCTCCTAGGACATTTATCACCAGGTTGACAGTCCGTGACCCCCCGCTTCTCATAGACTTTCCGCTATGTCACTCTGAGGCTGCAAAGCCCTGCTTGAAACCAACTTCTCTACCCTGTAGTATAATGCATCAATGTACAAAAACAACAGAAATATTTACCAAGGGGAAAAACATCCCCGATAATCTTATCACCCCATCAGATGAACTGTTTCCATTTTTCTGGGCTTCCTTCCATCCCAGTCTTCATAGTTGAATCATAAATCAACTACACTTATGGTATTAACTTTTTTTTTCTTTCCTAACGTGGTGTGATATTGGGCGAGTTTCAGTTTCCTCATCTGTAAGATGAGACCCTCATAATACCCGCCTCACACAGTGGAGTGAGCCTCAAATGAGATTCTGATTGTAAAGCACTTGGCATGGGGCCTGGCATATAATAGGTGCTCAATGAATGATTAGAATTTTTCAACTCTTTATATTATTGTGATAAAGAAAGTTGGAACTATTGTACTAACTTTAAAAGAAGCCTGGTTATAGTGAAATATCTTATATGATTATCCATTAAAGGTTTGCATCAGCAGATGTACATGTGCCCTATTATTCCACAACTAGGGGAGCCAGCCCCTGTCCATGTGGTCATTTTGGGGGTGGGGATGGGGCAAGGTGGTCTCATTATAGCTGAGACCTTTTCTTTTCTTTTCTTTCTTTCTTTTTTTTTTTTTTTTTTTGAGACAAAGTCTCACTCTGTCCCCCAGGCTGGAGTGCAGTAGCGTGATCTCGGCTCACCGCAAGCTCCATCTCCCGGGTTCACGCCATTCTCCTGCTTCAGCCTCCCAAGTAGCTGAGACTACAGGTGCCCGCCACCATGCCTGGCTAATTTTTTGTATTTTTAGTAGAGACGGGGTTTCACCGTGTTAGCCAGGATGGTCAGCTGAGACCTTTTCTGGCCTGAGTGCATGGTAGCAGGCCATGCTGATGTCACCTTTCTTGAAAGATGGGGAGATTCCAACACCCCATCTTCCCATCCCCATGATGCCCAAAGGGTCCCTGGGAATCTCAGCTCAGTTGTCCTCTCATTGTGTGTCATGGGAGAAGCGACCTTTAGATGTTCGCACAGGTGAATCAAAGTGCTGGACCCTTCCTCTACCATGCTGCAGAGAAGGGGTGGTGTTGGGGAATATTAAGTGGTGCATCTCTGCATAGCTAAAAGGCTGAGCTGGAGCATGGGCCACCGGGGCATGTGTGGTTTTGCTGAGCTTCCATTCTCTGGCCAGTGAAATGAAGTCTGTGAACATGGCGGTCATGGAGCTAAGTGATTCTTGGCTTTGGGAAGGAAATTGGCGATGTCACCGGACATTTGCCCCAAAGACTTGTCACATGATGTGAGACCTCTTTGCCTCTGAGTCACATTCTGAATCACAGGATATGGCCATATTAATGATGGCAGAGGCTGCCATTAACCAAGTGCACCCAAGCTGTAAATTCATGGAATCCTCCAAACAGCTCCATGATACATATACTGGTAATATCTTCATTTTTCAGGTGAGAAAATTAAGATGCGGAAAGATTAAATAATTTGCCTAAAGGCACATGGTTTGCAAGGGGTGGAGCTGTGATTCAATTCAGTCGTCTGATTCTAGCTTCCCCCATCCTTTTTGGAGGAGGGAAGTATCATAAAACTGTTGATTTCATTTAACAGAATTTTAAATGAAGTCTCTGCGTAGATGAACATAAGAGATAGCTAAAATCTCAATGTGAAAGGATATCCTTTCATAGAGTTTCTGAGTTTCAAGGTCCTTCCAACTGCTGACATTTGACATTTGACACCTTGAGATTTTGTCTACAGAAAGTAGCAACATCATCCTTATACAAAGACCCAACTGCGTGAGGTTGTAGTTCCGAGAGTTTCAAAATTAGTTTATTTTCTTTGTGTCAAATTTCAGTGCCATTTTCTTCCTCATTACCTCCTCCCCTCACCCTTTTCCCCTTCTCCTTTTTCTTTTTTCCCCTCCCTCTTCCTCCTCTTCCTCTACCTCTTCTTCTTTCTCTTTTCTTCTTCTATAAATTATCAAGCTATTTGAAAACACTTAGGACCTCTGTTCATTTCTCTTCATACATTAAGGTAATAGAAATTGGCCGACTTCCAGTCCCACAACAACCCTAGGGGTCACCTGATATTATTGATGGGAATTTAGCCAACACCATAATTTCAAGTTTGGCAACCATATGGGTAACAGCAAAAGAAGCTGAAAGCTTAAATTTTCCGGAGTGGTAGAATTTGTTCCAGAATGCCGGTCAAGATCCCAAATGTAGGTAGGAAAACATAGATGTCATTTGGGTTGTCCAGAGCTGGCAAGCTTCCAAATGTGCAAAACCACGGGAGGTGGGAGGTCTTCTGCTTTTGCAAAGCTTATAATACCACAGGAAGCAGCCAGACAGTCCACTCTAGAACATTCTGCCAATGAGAAGATACTGCAGAGCATGGATAAGTCACCTTTTGAGAGCCCATGCTCCTAACCAATCTGCCGTGTTGCATTTTCACTTTGAACCACGATAAGACCATTGGAAATTAGGAAAGGAATCATGTTGCCCCGACTTTTCATTCTGAAGAAGTTCTAAGGAGTTGGAGATAACATTTTTCATAGACTCTTAAAGTTTTAAGCCTCCCTAAAGGCTTCCCTAGAGTAGATCAAGCATCCTCAGCCTACAGATGAGGCCACTGAGGCTGGACCAACGGCATCTTCAGGGTCACACAGCTAGTTAGTGGCAAAGCCAGAACCAGGTCCCTAGTGATGGATTCTCAGTCCCTGGTTCTCTCTGCCACACCACATCATGTCCCTCTCAACACCAAAGCTGGAGTGGTGAGAAAAGGCTTCACAGAGGAGGAGGAGGAGGAACGTGATCTAGGCCTTGAGGGATGGGGTGTGGGTGGGCTCGAAGGAGGGGCCAGGCTTTCTAATGCCACTTTAGTTTCCTTTGTGACATTCCCAAGGGATTGTTAGCTCCTTCAAGGTAAGTAGGTCTCCCACCTTCTGCCCTATTGCAGAGTTCCTGGCATGAGGTGGACACAAAACCCTAACCCTCTTCTCCAGGGAGTGAAACTCCTTATTTTTAAGACATTTGCCAAAGCATCGGGCCCTGAATAGAAACTCAGCTTCTATTTTTCTGCTTCCTTCTTTACTTCCTACAGATGACACTTTTGAGAGCGTGCTCTCAACTACAGTCCCCTCAGCCCCTGTCTGTGGGAGCTGTCCAGCGCCCTCTGTAAGAGTGGGCTCTGGCAGCCATGTTTGTAAGACCCCCAATGAGTGACTGAGGGGCCCAGGAGTAGACTCTTGACTCAAAGTAGACTCATGAGAGTCCCTCTCCCAGTTTGGAATTTTGACTTTGAGGGGCTTCTCAGACTCCTCTGATGGCTTGGACTGAGGCAATATTGGCTCGAGGAGCTGGGGGGTGTCCATCCTCAGACACGTGGGGAAGGCCTGTGCGGAAATGGAGGGAGATGAGCAGAAGCAGGGGAGCTGCAGTGATGAGAAACCCTGAGAAGCCAGCCACCCTGGGCCTCTGGAGGTCCCTGCCCAGAGGAGGCCTTCAGCTCTTTTGAAGGCCTCTTTTCCAGTCACAGCAGAAGGACGGTCTGCTGCCTGGAACCTCACCATATTCTGATGTTATCGAGTTTCTGCAGAAGGAGCTCGCTCAGCCTGGGCTCTGACAGAGCCACCAGGGGAAGTCCTTGGTTAGACTTCGTGCTGGAGGAACCACAGTCCTGAGGGGGTGTAGGGGGAGTGTTGTTGAAGGGGAACTTTCTTCTCTTTCTTGAAGAGAGACTCTTGGCCTGGCAGTCACAATTTGACCTATGCTCTGGAAGGAATGGGAGTCTGGAGAAGATGCTCCTTCTTTTCTGCAACGGGTTTTAATCAGTGGTCTTCCTGGCACCATGAATGGAAGAGAAGAGGCCTCCTTGGTAACTTCACCTGCAGGCATTGTAATGGGTACTGAGGAGCAGAGGGACTAAGATGATCTTATCTACAGCTAGTGAGTGAGATGGACCTGTGGATAGCGCGGCAATGAGATGAAAACGCCATGCTAAGGGAATGCACAGGCAGTGAAGGGCTCCCAAGAACCTCCATCCTGGTGCATCAGAGAACGTTTCCCACTGGGGATGGCAACTGAGTGCAGGCCTAAGGAACAACTAGGAGTTGGCTAGGCCAAAGGGGTAGGAGAAAACCCAGAGGAAGCAGCAAGAATAGAAGAGTACTTTGGGAGGCCGAGGTGGGCGGACCACGAGGTTGGGAGATCGAGACCATCCTGGTTAACACAGTGAAACCCCGTCTATACTAAAAACACAAAAAATTAGCCGGGCGTGGTAGCAGGTGCCTGTAGTCCCAGCTACTCAGGAGGCTGAGGCAGGAGAATAGAGTGAACCCGGGAGGTGGAGCTTGCAGTGAGCCAAGTTCGCGCCACTGCACTCCAGCCTCGGTGACAGAGCGAGACTCCACCTCAAAAAAAAAAAAAAAAAAAAAAAAAAAGAGTAGACGAGCAGAGCTGAGAAAGACAATGGTGGGGGTCCTGGACCAGTGGCCAGAGCAGCGAAGAGTGGAACGTCTCCAGCTTCTGGCTGGAAAGCTTACCAGAAAGAAGAGGGACCACATGAGGGAGTGGGGGCTTTGTCCTGCAGAGCTGCCATCTCCAATCCTCCTGGATTATCCATTCCATCTGTTAAATTAAAAGAATTTTTTTAATTTATAAATTTCATTAGAAATTATTTTGCACAGGGACCCATGGCCTGGGACACACTGCCTTAGCCCACCCCACCCCCTGTTAAATTTTTTAGCATGCAAAAATATTTGTACATGTCTGTATATAATATAAATACAGGGCTGGCTGCAGTGGCTCACACCTGTTATCCCAGCACTTTGGGAGGCTGAGGCAGGCAGATCACTTGAGGTCAGGAGTTCAAGACCAGCCTGGCCAACATAGTGAAACCCCATCTCTACTAAAAATACAAAAATTAGCTGGGCATGGTGGTGCGCATCGGTAATCCCAGCTACTCGGGAAGCTGAGGCAGGAGAATCGCTTGTACCCAGGAGGCAGAGGTTGCAGTAAGCCGAGATGGCACTGCTGCACTCCAGCCTGGACAACAGAGTGAGACTCCATCTCAAAAAAAAAAACAAACCATATGTATAATTGCTTACAAGACAGTATACAAATATTTATTTACAAAATAGATGTTTGCTCTTATACTAATTATTAAATATGATCATAGCTTAATTTCTTTCTTATTACTTTTGGATAAAAATAAGTAGACATAGAAATTCTGAAATAGGCTCTACAACCCACTGTACATACAAGAGAACTGCTCTATAAATGAGGTTGGGAGCCCCCAGAGAGTTTGAGGACCATCCCTTTCCTCAGAATCAGCGAGATGTGTAACTGTGGCTTGGGTTGTCAAAGCCACTGCTGGTTGCCTCTGTGCTGGGTGATTCAGAGCAAGAAACCTCAGTAGCAGGCCCAGACTCTGTTGCCTTAGACTAAACATCTAGAAGCCCCTGGGCCTGGTGACCCGCAGTCTGAATTTCTGGATGTGCACACCACCATGACCGTGTGCTTTTCTTTTTTTTTTTTTAAGTCAACTGGAACCTGGACTTTATGGTTTCAGGGCTGTCAACAGAAAATGTAGAATTCACGTAGCTGCGGTCTTGCTGTGAAATTTTTGGGTAGAGTGAGCTGAACTTTCTGCCTGGACCATCTGTCCTGAACACCATACACAGCAGAAAATGGTCGAGCTTTGTCTGGGTCCAGGACATCCAGGCCAGCAAATGGCGGAGACATCATGCTGAGTAGGGGATACGGAGTTTTCCAACCACATCACAGGAACTTTCCCGGGGCTCAGGGCTCAGCTCTCAGTGTCATTAAGGTAGTTAGAGAATTGACTCTGACGTTGTTCTCTTTGTCTCTGGCTTGAGAGTAGGGACTGTTGGAAGCACTGGGACCTTATTTTGCCCTTGGGGCTGAGCTCTTCACAAAGGAGATGCCTAATGAGGCTTGAAGATGGCGTCTCCCTGAGCTTTTTCAGAGGAATCCAGGAGCAGCGGTGACAACTAAAAGGTAGCGGCAGTGACACCAACACAGCAGACATTTAAGGAGCGGTGACCACGTGCTCAGGCCTAAGCGCTTTCTAGTCATCATCTCATTGAACTCTCCCAACAAAGCGTGTGGCTACTTTTATTATTCCCACTCCACAGATGACGCCTGAGCCTGGGAGAGGCTTTCTCAGAGTCCCACAGCCATTTGTAGAGCTGGGGTTGCCAGGAGTCCCGGGCCCCAGGCTCCAGTCGCTCTTCCCACCATAGGAGCTGGCAGGACTGGGCTTTGGAACCTCACCTCCTACCAGCGTGTTTTTGGAAGTGGCTATTCTTTTAGGTTCTGCTAACCAAGCCAGGACTAAACCAAAAGGAGAACTCACAAAAGGGTAGCCTTAGGATGTTCACTCAAAACTGCAGGGCATACAATGGTAAATAAGTAAATAGGTTTAAATGGTTTTTAAATTTTAATTAAAAAAAAATAAGGCTGGGCATGGTGGCTCACACCTGTAATCCCAGCACTTTGGGAGCCCGAGGTGGGCAGATCACTTGAGGTCAGGAGTTTGAGACCAGCCTGGCTGACATGGTGAAACCCTATCTCTACTAAAAATACAAAAATTGGCCAGGCATGGTGGTGCGCATCTGTAATCCCAGCTACTCAGGAGGCTGAGGCAGAAGAATCGCTTGAACCTGGGAGACAGAGGCCGTAGTGAGCTGTGATCATGCCACTGCACTCCAGCCTGGGTGACAGAGCAAGACTTCGTCTCAAAAAAAAAAAAATTAAAATTAAAAACAAAACTGTAGAGTATTATCTAAGCCTGGTCATCTTATGCTTTCCGGGCAACACTTTCGGATCAGGAATAAGATGTGAGAGTCCAGATTGAATCAGTTTATCTGTTGGAAGGAGATAAAAGGAGAAAGTTTTTCCAAGCAGCTCCTAAGGGGGAGATTTTTTTGTTGTTGTTGCTATTGTTCTTAACTACTATAAAAATGGTTCATGTGTGTGGTAATAAAATTTCAAACAGTTACAAAAGGATAAAGAAAACATAAGTTTTCCACATCTCCCGGCCTACCCCTAGACTGACTCTTTAGACGTAAACATTTAAAATCAGATCTAGGTTTTGTCCTCCTGTGGTTATAGGCAGAATTCTAAAATATGTTTATACTTCTCTCTCTTAGTTTATCTACTTTAAAGATTGTTTGAAAACTCCTTTATACTTTGAATATTGAGGAATTTAACTCAGTTATATTTCACCGCATGTTCTCCCTCCCAATTTTTATTTTTATATTAAGTCTATCGGAATCTTTATAACTTTAAATAATATACTTACATCTCAATTTCTTGGCCCGTCACCTTTTACAGTATGTCTAACTTACAAAGTGTAAGTTCAGGAAAATACACAAGGCAGACTTCCTTCTGCCTTGTAATGGACACTGTGGTGTGGCGTGCTGCCCAGATCCCTTTCAGGACCAAGGCCTTGATTCCCCAACTTTGGGGAGTGCTGGCAGCTAAGAGGTCTCAGCTGAGTCCCTCTCCAAGAATTGCTTTTGGCTGAAGGGAGTTACCTGGAGATTATGTGAGAGATTATGCCACCTCCCAGAGGGCAGCCCATATCCAGTGACTGGTCAGTATGGGTTATGTGTTATAATGGTGTAGCCAGCCTATTGGCCTCAATGGAGCAACTTTGAAGAGCCATCTGCCTCCTCCCAAACTTCTTGCAGCATTGACTGGGGCCTTGTATCTACTCACTCCTCCCCTGCCTGGTCTTGGCTCCCTCAACTCTCACAGGTGATGTTTCTGAGAACACTCTCCAACAACCTCCCTATACCCAAGTCTTAGAGTCTCAGAGTCTGTTCTCTGGGGAACTTATAAATACCTTCTCTGTATCTCCTATTTCTATTTCTGATTATGGTCAGCTAATAAACAATTACTTTTAATTTTTTTTACTGTGAAATATTTCAAACATACAAACAAGAAAATATAATAATAAAATTAAAACCGGAAGAAACACCACTATAAATAACATTGTCATTTTTTATTCTACCATGACTTTATTATATTACTTTACTATAACTTAGTCTTCCATGCTTTATTCAAAGATTGTTCCTAAGAATTGAAAACAGAAGACAGTAATTACAATAATTTTATTGTGTATTCTTTAGTGACAATCTAAATAGTGAGGTTTGACCTGCAGACAAGCAAATGTAATCCTATGCTATTCAAACTGAGCCGCCTAAAGGGAACTGTTGCAAGATCAAATGTCAAATGGATTTTTTTTATTGTTACAATCTACCAATTGCATAAAATTGTATTACATTTTGGTTTGCTTCTTTTTCAAATTACAACTTTCTATATAGATTTTTACTGGAGTCACCTTTGTTTCATCTTGGTGACAAAATAACATAAACTTTTCCTACTATGATCATGTAGCATTTTATCACCCATTTTTAAAAATTTTTGGGGAAAAAAGCAAATCAATCAAAAAGTTGCTATACTAGAACAGTGAGCCTCCATTCTGTAATAGGTTCACCAGTTTTAAACACAAACACACACACACACACACACACACACACACACACACACTCTTACATATTTCTTTGTAAGCCATTAGAAAATAACTTGTAGAGAACATGACCTATCAGTCTTAAGTACTTCAGTGTACATCTCCTAAAGACAAGGACATAACCACAATGTCATTATCACACCTAAGGAATTTAACAATAATTTAATAATATCATCTAAGATACTATCTATATATAACTTGTAGATAACATGACACATCACTCTTAAATACTTCAGTGCGCATCTGAAATTAATTCGTTCTGGCCAGGCGCAGTGGCTCACACCCGTAATCCCAGCACTTTGGGAGGCTGAGGCGGGTGGGTCACTTGAGGTCAGGAATTCAAGACCAGCCTGGCCAACATGGTGAAACCCTGTCTCTAATAAATATATAAAAATTAGCCGGGCCTGGTGGCAGGCACCTATAATCCCAGCCATTTTGGAGGCTGAGGCAGAAGAATCGCTTGAACCGGGAGGCGGAGGTTGCAGTGAGTCGAGATCTCACCACTACACTCCAGCCTGGGTGATAGAGCGAGACTCTGGCTCAGTAAATAAATAAATAAATAAAAATAAAATTGATTAGTTCTGCTTCTAATAGAACTAATTGGCCACATTCAAGGGCTCAATACCCACATGTAGCTAGTGGCTATCATGTTGGATGGTGCAACTTGAGGCAGTACCCTGATGCCCACCTTCATTTCTGCTCCGTTTTCTACTCCAGTCTTGGCACTTGCACGTTACTAGTTTTAGCCAAGGCTCTTTCCACCATGGTTTCTCTCTCACGATGGTTCTTTCATTTTCTCTTACCCAGAAATTATTCAGGCTGTCTCCTGACCTGCTCACATTTCTCCCTCCCATTATTAAGCTTTGTTATGAATCTGTTTCTCTCTGCATGTCTTCTCTGTCATCTCAATGGCACGTGAAGCACACGAGCTTAGTAGTCTGTCTTGGATTAGAGATGTGAGGGGGTTTTAAGAGTAATCTTTAGATAATAATGGAATTAGAAAGCCCACTGGTGCATCTATTTTCTCAGGCCTTAACTTTTTTTTTTTTTTTTCAGACAGAGTCTCTATTGTGCAGTGGCAGGATCTCAGCACACTGCAACTTCTGCCTCCCAGGCTTGAGTGATCCTCCCACTTCAGCCTCCAGAGTAGCTGGGACTACTGGTGCACACCACCACTCCCAGCTAACTTTTTTTTCTTTTCTTTTCTTTTCTTTTCTTTTCTTTTCTTGTGTTTTCTTTTCTTTCTTTTTGGAGAGATAGGGTTTTGCCATATTGCCCAGGCTGGTCTCAAACTCCTGAGCTCAAGCAATCCACCCGCCTTTGCCTCCCAAAGTGCTGGGATTACAGGCATGAGCCACCATGCCCAGCCAGTCCTTAACTTCTTAATCCTACCATGTATCTACGTGGATCCAAAAAAGCTATCCCTACCAGTAGAATGAGAGAGGAATAATAATCTTGTATCCTTCCAGATATATCCTTGAGGATAGTAGTGTGCATAGAGAGGCTGTTATATGCTTTATCCTGCCTACTTCCAGGGTGGCAATAAAAACAAAATGCCCCGTAAATCAGTACCACAAGATTCGTTTAGAAATACATTGCTCAGATATATTTCATTTACATGAATTCTATGTTCAAAAGGATGGCGGCTCACAGGGAAATCTCATCCTTTCATTCCTGAGTGGCAGTTAGTAAGGCTCCATGGAACTGGCCCTTTATGTTGTCATTAAGATTCCCAAGGATGTTTATGTCTACCATGGGGAGACTAGATTAAAGGAACGTTGGAAAGGCCACAAAGGGGAGAATGGGCAATGTAGGAACATGTATGTCCAAACATGGAAACCATATGGAGTTAAGACAAATCATGTTCTATTTGCTGAGGAACCAGGTTGATTAAAGACTTTCTTATGACATGAATTGGAAAATTTGACATATGTACACATGAGGCTGATGGAGAAAAAGATGCTTAATCTTGCAAAAGTCTATCAATTTTATTGAGCTATATAAACCCCAATCTGTCCATACTACTGCCATTCCCCTCTAACAGCCACATTCTTAAAATTGCTTGGAGATATTCTAAAATCTGGTCTCCGGTAGGTATATAACAATTTATGGTCATTTCTATTATTACATTATATATGTCTTGGTCCACTTTGTGCTGTTATAACAGAATACCTGATACTGGCTAGTTAATAATGAACAGAAATTTACTAGTATATAGTTCTGGAGGCTGGGAAGTCCAAGATCAAGGTGCTGGCATCTTGCCATAACTTTCTTCCTGTGCCATCACATAGCAGAAGGTGAAAGGGCAAAAGTACAAGAGAGCAAACTTATGCTCTCAAACCCTTTTTATGATAACATTAATCTATTTGTGAGGGCAGAGCCCTCATGACCTAAACACCTCCCATTAGGCCCCACTTACTGGCCCCAGTACTGTTGGATTGGGAATTAAGTTTCCAAAACATGAATTCTGGGGGACGCATTCAAACCATAGAAACTTGTTTGCTAGAGAAAACATGTACATTGTTTGTGTCATTGTTACCATTTTGATGCATAATCTGCCAATTAAATACATAGGTGTTTTCTTAATAAGAATACGAACATGCTAAATACATTGCTTTTTAACTTGCCTTTAAATTTATTTATATTATTATTTAGTTATTATATATTGTATATCAATATATTTATAATAATTTAATATATCGTGAACATCATTGTACATTATTATTTTATCATTCTTTTGCAACATCATTTTTAGTGGCTGTATAGTTTTCTATTGTACTACTGTCTTTCTCTCTCTCTAGTCAGTCTCCTTTCATGTGCTAAACTGGATTTTTACTGATCGACTAAAGAAGGCACATTTCAGCCAGGCACAGTGGCTCATGCCTGTAATCCCAGCACTTTGGGAGGCTAAGATGGGTGGATCTCTCGAGTCCATGAGTTCGAGACCAGCCTGGGCAACGTGGTGAAACCCCATCTCTACAAAAAGTTTTTTAAAAAATTAGCCAGGTGTGGTGATGTGCTCCTGCAGTTCCAGCTACTCGGGAGGCTGAGGTAGGAGGAACACGCAGAGCTGAGTTGTGATCACACCACTGCACTCCAGCCTGGGCAACAGAGCAAGACCTTGTCTCAAAAAATAAAAATAAAATAAAATAATACACGTTTCCAACATTTTTTTAGTCTTCTAGAAATACATCGGAATCTCTAGTCTGCTGATGCCCCTTATTTCCCTGATCAGTTTTATCCTGAGTCAAGTCCTTACTGCAGTTTTTTGCTGTCCTTTCAATGAGAATTGGAAAAGAGCGGGATATTTGGTGGTTCTCTCAGCCAGTCAACAATTCAATGTCAGGAGGCTTGCCTCTTTATATAGCAGCCTTTTTGTGTAATTATCTAATATTTTATTTCATATTGCTTTTTTCTTAAAATAGTAAAAACTAGAAAAGTGAAAGTGCTAACATTAATGATATGAAATGTAGATCTTTCAATCTCCTAGCAACTGAGACAAAAAAATGGAATTGATTGCATATGCTGAGAGCAGTAAGTCTTTACTCATTGGATGTAAGTCAGTTTTCTGGGTATTCCATTGTGAAAGGGAAAAGATAAAAATACATAAAGAATAGGATTGAAGTGCTAGGAACATATCAAAGATGTGCCTAAAAACCCAAAATTTATTCAATAATTGAATAAACAAATAAATTATGGTACATTCATTCACTGGAATATCAACAGGAATCGGAAAGAATAAACTACGACTGTACTCAGTAGAAAAAAGGTACAGAGAAAACCAACAGAGCAAAGATAATCAATAAAATCAAAAGATGGTTCTTTTACACAGTCAATTAAATCCATAAATAGAAAAATCTATAGAGACAGAAAGTAGATTAGTGGTTGCCTAGGGCTTGAGCGAATGGATAGATGAGATTTTGGGGGGGGGATGGCTAAGGGGTGCAGGGTTTATTTTTGGAGCAATGAAAACGTTTTAAAATTGATTGTTGTGATGAATGCGTAACTCTATGAATACACTCAAGGCCATTATATTGTACACTTTAAATGGGTGAATTATACAGTATATGAATTATACTTTTATTTTTAAAATAATTTAAAAATGAAGGCAAAATTAAGGCATTCCCAGATAAACAAAAGCTGAGAGAAATCATTACTAGATCTGCCTTGTAAGAGACACTAAAGAGAGTCCTTCAGGCTGAAATGAAAGGACACTAGACAGTAACTTGAATCCACAAGAAGAAATGAGGAGCGCCAGTAAAGTTAACTACATGGGTAAATATACAAGAAAATGTAAATGTATATTTTGTTTATAACAATTTTTATTTCCAATCTGACTTAAAAGATAACTGCAAAAAGTAATAACTATAAATATGTGTTGATGGACATATAGTAAATAAAGAAGTAATTTTATGATAATATTAGCACAAGTGAAGAGGAGGAAAATGGAGTTATAAAGAAGTAAAGTTTTGTAATTATTAAAATTAATAATCTACAAACTTAAAATTAAAGTTTGTATTCACCTGAACTATATTATTCTAAGCTGTTAATTGTAATCCCCAGGGCAACCATTAAAAAAAAACAACTCAAAAAATGTGATAAAAGAAATGGCAAGTTAGTTAAAATAGTACACTAGAAAATATCCATGAGACACAAAAGCAGGCAGTAATGGAGGAATAGAGGCACAAAAAAGACATAAGACATGTAGAAAACAACTGGCAAAATGGCTGATATAAATCTTACCCTATCAGTAATTACATTAAATATAAATAGGTTAAATACTCCAATCAAAAAACAGAGACTGGCAGAATGGATAAAAAAAAATCCAACCAAATGCTGTTTATAAGAAACATATTTTAGATTCAAAGACATAAATAGGTTGTATGTAAAAGGATGGAAAAAAACATAAACGATGAATACAGTATTTAAAAGAAAGCTGAAGTAGCTATGTTAATATCAGACAAAAATCAACAAATGTTACTACAGCAAAGAAGGACACTTGACAATAATAAAAGGGTCAATCCATTAAGAAAACTTAACAATTATGAATATATATATGCAGCTAACAATATAGTCCTTAAAATAAATGAAGCAAAAACTCACAGAATTAAAGAGAGAAATAGACGATACAAGAATAATAGTTGAGGCCGGGTGCAGTGGCTCATGCCTGTAATCCTAGCACTTTGGAAAGCTGAAGTGGAAAGCTCCTGAGGTCAGGAGCTCGAGATCAGCCTGGCCAACATGGCAAAACCCCATGCCTACTAAAAATATAAAAAACTAGCCGGGCCTGGTGGCAGGCGCCTGTAATCGCAGCTACTCAGGAGGCTGAGGCAAGAGAATCCCTTGAACCTGGGGGACAGAAGTTGCAGTGAGCTGAGATCGCACCACTTCACTCCAGCCTGGGTGAAAGAGTGAAACTCTGTCTCAAAATAATAATAATAATAATAATAGTTGAAGACTCTAATACCCCACTTTCATTAATAGATGGAATGACAGAAGATCAACAAGGAAATAAAAAACTTGAACCTAAATCAGACATTAATAGAATATTCCACTCAACAACAGCAAAACACACATTCTTCTCAAGTGCATCATGAAATATTTTCCAGAAGAGACCATATGATAGTCTCAATAAAGTTATAAGGGCTGAAATCATACAAAGTATGTTCTCCAATCACAGTGGAATAAAATTAGAAATCAATAGGAGAAAATATGTGGGAAATTCAAAAGGATAGGGATATTTTAAAACCACTCCTAAAGAACCAATAGGTCAAAGAAAAAAATCACAATGGAAATTAGAAAATACTTTGAAATTAATGAAAACAAAACACAACATACCAAAACTTATGGGGTGAAGCTAAAGAATGGCTCAGAGGGAAATTAATCACTGCATACAAATATGTTAGAAAAGAAGAAAAATCTCAAATCAATAACCTGATCTTCCACCTTAAGAAACTAGAAAAAGATCAAACTAACCCAAGGGAAGCAGAAAGAATGGAACAATAAAGATAAGAGCAGAAGAAAGTGAAATAGAGAATATAAATGTAATAGAAAAAAATGAAATAAAAAGTTGGTCTTTGAAAAAATTAACAAGTATGAAAAACCTTTAGCTAGTCTGATGAGAGGGAGAAATAAGACTTGAATTACTAAAATAAAAAATAAGAGAAGGAAAATTACTGTTGACCTTACAAAAATAAAAGGAATTGTAAGTGAATACTATGAAAAGTTGTATGCAAATAAAGTGGATAATCTAGATAAGATAGACAAATTCCTAGAAAGACACAGCTACCAAAACTTAATCAAGAAGAAATAGAAAAATCTGAATAGACTGAAAATAAATAAAGAGACTGAATTAGTAATCAAAAAATTGTCAAAAGGGAAAACCTGGAACCAAATAGCTTCACTAGTGAAGTTTATCAAATGTTTAAAGAAGAATTAACACCACTCCTTCTCAAACTCTTTCACAAAGTAGAAGTGGAGGGAACACTTTTCAATGTGTTCTATGCAGCCAGTATTACTCTGATACCAAAGCTAGAAAATAACACAAGAGTACTAAAGGCCAATGTCTCTTATGCATATAGATGCAAAATTCTGGACAAATTACTAGTAAATTGAATCCAACAACATATAAAAAGGAACATACATCATGATCAAGTGGGACTTAGCTCAGAAAATAAGATCGATTCAACATATAAAAATCAATGTAAATATTGGTATTTACATATCAATTTACATATTGATATTTACATATCAATATTACTATATTAATACAATAAAGGACAAAAATGACAGAATTATTTCAATATACACAGGAAGGCATTTGACAAAATCTAACTGCTTTTTATTAAAAACCACTTGAAAAACTATGAGTAGAAGGGAACTTTCTTAACAAAGAACATCTATGAAAAACCCACAACTAGCATTGTGCTTATTAGTGAAAGACTGATCAAAATCTTTCCCAGTAAGACCAAGAACAAGACAAGGATATCCTCTCATACACCACTTCTATTTAACATTGTGCTAGAAGTCCCAGCCAGGATAATTAGGCAAGAAAAAGAGAGAAAAGGCATCCATGTTGGAAAGAAAAAAGTAAAACTATCCCTATTTACAGATGAGATAATCTTGTATATAGAAAACCCTAAGAAATCCATCCCCCCTAAAAAATATATTTTTACATATTATTAGATTCAATATATATCTATTAGAGCTAATAACAAGTTCAACTAGGTTGAAAGATATAAGAGCAATACACAAAAACTACTTATTTCTGTATACGGGCTATGAATAATACAAAAATGAAATTGAGAAAACAATTCTATTTATAATCAAAACAATTTATATCAAAAAGAATAAAATACTTAGGATGAAATTTAACCAAAGAAGTGCAACCCTTATACATCAGAAATTGCAAAACAAAGAAGACTAAAAAATAGTGGGAAGATATCCCTTGTTCATGGATTGGAAGACTTAATATTGTTAAGAAGGCAATGTTTCCTGAATTGCTCTACAGAGTTGATGCAATCTGTATCATTTTCCAGCTGTCTTTTTGGCAGAAATTGGCAAGCTGATCTTATACAATTCATATAGAAATTCAAAGGTTCTGAGTAGCCTAAACAATTTTGAAAAAGAAGAACAAAGTCAAAGGACTCATACTTCCCAATTTTAAAACTTACTACAAGACAGTGTGGAACCAGCAGAGGTAGAGACACATATATCAATGGGAGAGATTTCAGAGCCCAAAAATAAACCTTCACATTTATGATCCATTGATTTTTGACAAGGGTGACAAAATTACTAATGAGGAAAGAATAATCTTTTCAATAAATGGTGCTGGGACAACTGGATATCTACATGCAAAAGAATGAATTTGGACCTCTACCTCACACCATACAAAAATTAACTCAAAATAGATCAAAGACTTAAATGTAAAGCATAAAACTACAAAACTCTTAGAAGAAAGTCGATGTAAATCTTTGTAACCTTGGGTTAAGCAATGGCTCCTTAGATATGACACCAAAAGCATAAGCAACTAAAGAATAAAAATAGATAACTTGGGCTTCATCAAAATTTAAAATGCTTTACAAATGATATTATCAAGAAAGTGGAAGACAACCACAGAAAATATTTGCAAATCATATACCTAACAAAGATCTAGTATCAAGAATATATAAACAACTCTTACAACTCAACATTTTAAAAAATCCATTTTTAAAATGTGCAAAGGATTTGAATAGACATTTCTCTATATATACTTGAATATATATTATAGGCAATAAGGATATGGAAAGAGTTTCAACATCATTAGTCATTAGGCAAATGCAAATCAAAACCACACTGAGATACAACTTCACAACCACTAGGTGATTATAATAAAAAAGATGAATAACAAGCATTAGTGAGAATGTGGAGAAACTGAAACCCTCAGATATTGCTGGTAGGAATGTAAAACAGGGCAACTGCTGTGGAAAACAGTCTGGTAGTTCCTCAACAGTTAAACATAGAGTGACGTATGATGTAAAAGAATTGAAAACATATATCCACATAAAAACTTGTACACAAACTTTGTAGTAGCCTCATTTGTAAGAGTCAAAATATGGAAACAAACCAGATGTTCATCAACTGGTGACTGGACACAGTGTAGTATATCTATACAATGGAATATTATTGGGCCATTGAAAGGAATGGAGTACTGATACATGCTACAACACGATGAGCCTTAAAAGCATCATGTTAAATAAAAGAAGCCAGTCACAAAAGGCCACATATTACATTATTCTATTTATGTAAAATAGCCAGAATGGGCAAATTCAGAGACAGAAAGTATATTACTGCTTTCCAAGAGCTGAGGGGGAGAGGAATGGGGAATAATTGCTAACAGGAACAGAGGGGTTTTTTTAGGGTGATAAAAATATTCTAAAATTAGATAGTGGTAATGGTTTCACAACTCTGTGAAACTCTGTACACTGAATTGTGTACTTTAAAAAGTTAAATTTCATGGTTTGTGAATTGTATCTCAATTTTAAAATACACTAAAGAAGTATGAACAAGTAGAGTGCATTCCAGGAATGCAAGGTTGGTTTAACATTCAAAAATCAGTTACTATAATTCATCATAATAATAGAATAAAGGAGAAAAACTATAAAATTATATCAATAGACTCAGAAAAGGCCTTTGTTATTTTGTTAAATGACAAAATTCAGCACATATTCAGGATAAAGGGTCCCAACACATTAGAAATAAAAGGGAATTTCCTTAACCTGACAAAAGAGCATCTACAAAAAAAACCTATAGCTTACATTATATTTAGTGGTAAGAGACTGAATGCTTATCTCTTAATATCAGGAACAAGGCAAGGATGTGTATTCTCAAAACCTTTATTCAACATTAAACTCTACAAAAAGGCAAATGTGTCTGGGTGCAGTAGCTTATACCTGTAATCCCAGCACTTTGGGAGGCCAAGGTGGGAGGGTCACTTGAGGCCAGGAGTTCAAGACCAGCCTGGGCAACACAGAGAGACTACATATTTACAAAACATTATTTTAAAAATTAGCTGGGCCTAGAGGCAGGCACCTGTAGTCCTAGCTACTCTGGAGGCTGAAGTAAGAGGATCGCTTGAGCCTGGGAGCTTGAGGCTGCAGTGAGCTATGATTCCACCACTGTGCTCCAGTGCCTGGGGAACACAGTGAGAACCTGTCACACACACACCAAAAAAAAGAGGCAGATAGGTTGGAAAGGAAAAAGTAAAACAGTCTTTATTCACAAACAACATAATCATCTAAGAAAATCCTAAGGAATCTACACAAAAGCAACTCAAACTAACAAATAAATATTGCAAGGTTGTAAGAAGTCCCTTCTAGGTATACACCCCCAAAAAGTGAAAGCATATGTCCCCCAAAAGACTTGACATGAATATTCAGTCACTTTATTCAGAACAATCAAAACCTGGAAACAATGCCATTGTCCAGCAACAGGTGAACAGATAACAAATTGCCCCTGGAGGAGGCATCTTTGTTTGGGCCTTGTAGCTATAGAACCTTTACCCTGTGGAGCAGGAGAGGGTGGAGATGCAGGTGTGGGAAAGGTAGGAGACACTAACCCTGGCCTGGAGATGTCCAGCTGAAGAACAGAGAATGCTTGGTTGGGAGGTAGAGACTTGAGTTGCTCAGCAAAGTAGGAATAAAGGTAACAGGGCTGTGAGATTTGGGAGCAGTAACAGAGAAAGCCTCAGAAGGGAAGGGGTAGACAGGCACAGAAGGCATGAGAAGGGTGACTTTCGAGGGAAACTGTAGAAAGAGGATTTTTTGATTTTTTTTTTTTTTTTTGAGACAGAGTTTTGCTCTTGCTGTCCAGGCTGGAGTACAATGGTGCAGTCTCAGCTCACTGAAACTTCAGCCTCCCAGGTTCAAGTGATTCCCCTGCCTCAGCCTTCCTAGTAGCTGGAATTACAGGCACCCGCCACCATGCCCGGCTAATTTTTGTATTTTTAGTAGAGACGGGGTTTCACCATGTTGACCAGGCTGGGCTTGAACTCCTGACCTCAGGTGATCCACCCACCTCAGCCTCCCCAAGTGCTGGGATTACAGGCATGAGCCACGGTGCCTGTCTAGAAAAAGGATTTTTATAGAAAGTTGGTATGTGATGTTATTCCCTTTTTCCCTTTTCTTTTTTTTTTTTTTTTTTTGAGACAGGGTCTCTCTTGTTGCCCAGACAAGAGAGAGTGCAGCAGCATGATAACAGCTCACTGCAGCCTTGATGTCCCAGGTTCAAGCAATCCCCCCACCTCAGCCTCCAGAGTAACTGGGACTACAGGTGTGCACCACCACATCCAGCTATTTTTTAAATTGTTTTTAGAGGTGGTCTTGAACTCCTAAGCTCAAGTGATCCTCCTGACTCAGCCTCACAAAGTGCTGGGATCATAGGTGTGCACCACCCCATCCGGTCTTACTCTCTTTTTTTCAATATTTCTATTGGATGAGACTCTACTTGGATAATCCCAGTTTTATATGGGTTACATAAAACAAATATTACGGCAGTAATAGCTAATAGGCACTGTATGCTTACTAGGCACTAATCATTGCACTAAGCAATTTAAATACATTCAGTGGTATGAGGTGGCACCATTATATAGATGAGGAAACTGAGGCACAGAGTTTTAAGTGATTGTCCAAGATCACAGAGTTATGAAGCGACAGAGCCAGAACATTGGATTTCATATTGAAACCCAAAGCTAAGAGGCCGTTTTCGTGTTCCTGCTTTCCTCCTTGACCATGTCTCTCTCTGTATGCTGTCAGGGTTGAGTGAGTGAGGGAAGGATGCTGAAAAGTCATTTGGTTCAGGCCTCACATTTTCAAAGCACTTAACTCCAGTGAGGCCGTATATCCAGCCTGAGATATTTAGCCGGGCCTGAGAGATGAGGAGATTTACCCAGCTTTTGAGTTACTTTCCATTTATTGATGCTACCACCTCCAGAGACCCAGGAATTAAATACTCATATAAATTCCATCATTTTCTGGTTGTAGTATAAGTACATTACTTTTAAAACATACCATATTTTTTGTTAACCTTATTTTGATATATCTTCATTTTTAATCTGATGGGAAACTGAAAAATGGAGTGGCCTCTCTCTCAACCTTTGAGAGGCCTCACTCCCTTTCCTACTGTCTGAAAGGTGCAGGAAGAGGAGGCCCTGCAGGAAGCAGCTCTGATGCCCACTCCGGCTGCTGCCAGTGGCTGGCTGGATGTGCTATCAGCATGGCCATACCCACAGGTTGAAGTAGGTCAACAACCTGGGGACCCAGAAGCTGCGTGGTGCAAAGTGCATCTATCCGGAAATTTCCTGAGCTTCAAGGGGGTTTATAAGGCAGCCACCAGGCCCAGACTGACCAAGAGAACAGGAGCTTTGGATGCATGTTCTTTAACCCAGTGGCTCTCACCTGGGGCGATTTAGCTTCTCCTCCCCGTAGAACATCTGGCAATTCTAGAGACATTTTTTTATTTTCACAACTTGGGGTTCTACCAGCAACTAGTGGGTGGAGACCAGAGAAGCTGCTAAACATCTTACAATGCACAGGATGGCCCACCGCCACAAAGAATTATCCGCCCCAAATGTCAAGAGTGCCACAGTTGAGGAAATGTGTTCTAACCCTCTGGGGCTGGCCTTATGAAGCGCAGCCACACCCCTCCTAAGAGGCTTCCTCCAAGGCTGCAAAGCCTGAGAGGGCTGGACTGTAGGCCACTCCGCCGCGGGATTTCCCCTTCATCACCTGGCCACCCACTCTGGCCCCCTTACTGGAGGGCTCCGCCCTCAGGTAAATGTTTTCCCTACTTGTTTGGGAAACTTTGAGAAAAATCCCCTTTAGCCATCTTCTGAGCAGTGAAGATGTACCATGTGTGCTTTTTCCACCAAAAAAACATTAAAGCGGCTAGGGGATTTTTATTATTTTAGCTCAAATAACTAAATAGTGGCAGCCAACTCCTTTAAAGGCGACTGTCAGCCCTCAAAGGGGCGCTCAGATGGAACTCAGAAAAAATTAAAAAAAGAGTGAGTTTAGTATCAGTGGATCAGGGGAGTGGGGATAACCTGGGAATTCTGGTCTGGTGGGGCAGGCGACACAGACCGAAGGCCTCCGCCCACCCCCAGCCTCAAGCCCCCTCTGCGTGGGGCCCCTGGGGGCCTGGGGACATTTGCATGTACTCTCAGGAGATTCTCCTTTCTTCTCCCTGGGTTTCATCTTTAATAACTAGATGATGGGCTGTTGGGGAATGCAGGGCCAGCGCTCTAGGAAAGTGAAACTGCCTTGCAGAGGGAAAGCAACCCACTGTGGCCCCGAAAGACCCAGACCGCCAGCGGCCCCGGGCAGCCGCCGAGGGCACCGGCTCACACTTCCTGCATTTCACAAGCTCTTGCTTGGCATGCATTGATGACTTGAACTGGGGGGTTAACCCAAAAAGATCAAGTGCGAGCTCAAGGCGGATGATGAGAACAGATTCGGGGCTGGTTAACCTCAGAGAGCGGGAGTCCGTTGGTGCTAATGAGGCCAAGGGAGCCCGGCTCCTTTCTGCCCCCAGGCAGGTGAGAAAGAAAGAACGGAGACGAAAGAGGGCCCGCTGTGTCTACTCCTCTTGGCCCAGAAGCCCAGCTGGACCCTGAGGCCACAAACTGCCCCCTACTGGAGAAATCGCTGCAGGATTTCTCCTCCATCAAATCGCTGTGTCAGAGCCAGTTGGGGGCTTTTAAAAGACGCCCACGCTCAGGCCCGCACCAGGCCACCTACACTGGAATATCTGAGGCTAAGTCCCAAGCTAGAATTTCCCATCTTCTTTCTGGCCTTGGGAGATTTTGCATCTCCTTCCAGGGAAGGAAGCCTGACTTCTGAAATGATTCTCACGAAGGAGAAGTGCTCCGTTCTGCAGTGAGCCTGGCCAGGGGGGCCACACCACAGACTCCCAGGAGGCTTCTGCTCTGCGTGGTTCTTCTGCTCTCGTTTCCTTAACGATTGGGCCAGAGCATCTCTGCTCTTGTAAAATAGCAGGCAATTAGATCTCGAAGTCTTTGAAGTGGGCAGATTCACCAGGCGTTGGACTGAAGTTTCTATTTGTCCTGGCACTGAGAATAGCAAAGGAACAGGGGGACTGAACTGGTAAGGATATAGCAGGTTTGTTGCACTTTTAAAAAATATGTTTTCAATTACCTTAAGAACCCATTTATGTGCAGTATATCCTGCTGCTGATTTTGAACAAGGATGATCCAATAGGCACTGGTATTAAAACGCTGAAATAGAGGTTGACAAGTAGCTGCTTCCCTAAATCCTTGGAGTTTCCTTCCTCCCTCCTTCCCCTCCTTTGGCACCAACCCCCTTCCCACCTCCCCAAGATCCAGCAACTAAAAGGTTATTTGCTTGGCACGGCAGGGAGTAGGGGCTGTGCTGAATGGTGGGAACCCACGCTACATGGGTTGTCAGCTGTGTCACCCCTAATTAGACATCATTTCAATCTACTCATGAAAGCAGCTTGCTGCAGGACTCTGTGCTGGCCATATTTAATTAGAGCAGTATAAGGTTTTTTTTTTTTAAGTTAAAAACTCATATTGTATTGCCCATGTACCAGAGACTATTCTAAGAACTTTACAAACATTAACTCATTTGATCCTTATAACGACCCTATGATATTGGTGGTGTGATATCCTCCCGTTTTCTAGGTATGGAAAGAGGCATAGAGAGGTGAAGTCTCTTGCTGATATCTTCTAGACCGGGCTGGCTGCAGGGTCTGTTGCTCTCAACCAGAGGAAATAGAACCATGAAAGAACAAGGTAGGGTTTTCCTCCTTCTGCCAAACTGAGATTCACAAAGTGGACTCTAGCATTCTTCCTCTCTGCCATTCCCTCCCACCAAATTTACACCTGGGGAAACAGTGGCCCAGAGAGGGAAGGAGACCTTCCTACAATCTCAGAGTCAATTGGGGGCAAAGCTAGGACCAGAATGCTGCCTCTCAACTCCCCCTCGACCTCATATCATATTGCTTACATCCAGCTAAATGTCTCCTCAGAAATCAGTTGGGGAATATGGTGATTTTAAGTCCATAAATTCTTTATTTAATACTCCTCCCTCTAAGAGGTAGAGACTCATTTGCCTCCCCTCAAGTGTGGGCTGGACTCAGTGCTCCATTCTACTTTTTTCTTTTAGGTCAGCCTGTTGCCCAGGCTGGAGTGCAGTGGCTCAGTCTCAAATCACTGCAACCTCCGCCTCCTGGGCTTAAGTGATTCTTCCACCTCAGCTCTGCCCAGCTAATTTTTTGTAGAGACAAGGTCTCACCATGTTGCCCAGGCTGGTCTCAAACTCCTGGACTCAAGCAATCCTCCTGCCTCGGCCTCCCACAGTGCTAGAATTACAGGCATGAGCCATGCCACCCGGCCCCAAGAGTAGAACAAAGATGGAGGACTAGGTCATAAAAGACACTGCAACTCCTCTCTCTCTCTCTCTCTCTCTCTCTCTCTCTCTCTGTCTCTCTCTCTTTCTTTATTTCTCTCTCTTGTTGTTCACTCTCCAGGGAGCCAGTTGCCATGTCATGGGGAGGACACTCAGGCAGCCCCGTGGGGAGACTCATGTGAGGAGGAACTGAGATGTCTTGCCAACATCCATATGAGGGAGCCATCTTGTAAATGAATCTTCCAGTCCCAATCAAGTCTTCAGATGACCAGAGCCTCAGCTGATAACTTGGCTGCAGCCTCATGAGAGATCCTGAGCCAGAACCACTCAGCCAAGGTGTTCCTAGATTCCTGCCTCTCAAAAACTGTGTGAGATAATAGATGCTTATTGTTTAAAGTTGTTTAGGGTAACTCATTGTGTAGCAATAGATAGCTGAAACAGGAGGCTCTACATTTACTCTTTTTTTTTTTTTTTCTTGGAGACAGAGTCTTGCTGTGTCACCCAGGCTGGAGTGCAGTGGGGCAATCTCCGCTCATTGCAATCTGCGCCTCCCTGGTTCAAGCAATTCTCATGCCTCAGCTTCCCGGGTAGCTGGGACTACAGGAGTGCGCCACCATGTCCAGCTAATTATTTTGTATATTTAGTAGAGACAGGGTTTCACCATGTTGGCCAGGCTGGTCTCAAACTCCTGACCTCAAGTGATCTGCCTGCCTTGGCCTCCCAAAGTGCTGGGATTACAGGCATGAGCCACTGCACCCAGCCTACCTTTATTCTTAAAATGCCATAAATGCACAGAGTGTTTTGAGGAGTCTTTTATCCCAAAGTATTCCAACTATATTTCTTTTAAAAATTTAGGGCAATTAAGGCATTTTAATGCATGTGACCCTCCCCGCCCCACATTCCCCCACCCTTCATTATTTCAAACTGGAGTGGTCTTTTGAATTTTTTCCTGAACGTGTTTCCAGAAAGTTTATACCAAGTAAAACAGCTATATCCAAGTTCCTAGTAATTATTACAGCAATTACAAGGGTTCCAAGCCTAATAAAGTAATCTAAGGGCAGGAGGTTTGGAGGTATGGTTATTTCTTGGCATTCTTCTAATGACAGCCTGGAGCTGAGTAGCATCTTGGCAGTTGTCTACTGTTTGAATACGTTAGACTGCTCCCAACTCTGTCACTTGCTAACTGTGTGACCTTGGGCAAATGATCGAACTCTCTGTGCCTTAATTGCATATAAATTTTAGAATCTAATTATGATACCTGCTCTGTGGAATCCTGGGGAAGATTAAAATGAGATGTGGTAGAGCATGGTGCTTATAAGCATTGAACCAAATTGCCTGAGTTTGAGTCCTAGCTCCAGTGACTTTTCTAGCTGTATGATCTTGGGAATGTTACCTAATCTCCTTGTGCCTCAATATTCCACATACATAAAATGGGGTGAGGTGGGGAAACGGTGCTTACCTCCTGTGACTGTCATGAGAATTAAATGGAGCCAATTCATATACTATTCCCGGTACACAGTAAGTAGCATATGGCAAGGATGCTAGGTATAGTTGTGCAGGTTGTTCACTGTTCAAGGGCTCCAACCTGAGAGGTCAAGTGAGGGCTTGCCAGGCCATACGCTTTGGTATGAGGTTGCCTACCTAGAGGTGGCGCTGTTTTCTAGTTTGTACCAGGCCCTATATCAGCCAGCTGTCAGCATAAGGGTTTGTAGTATCCAGCAACCACTACCTTAATACTATCTTTAGGCTTTAGGCTGATGTTCACTGAGCGCATGCCAGTTTTATTATAACTGTTACTTGGTAGCTTCCTGGAGTTCTCCAGGATAACATCAGTGGGATGTGTATATCCCAAACCTTGCCATTACCATTCAGATACAATGCTGAAAATCAAATAAAAAATATTAGCAAGGTAAAAAGTTTAAAATCCTGCAGGACAATATTATATATTGCTTAGGCATACATACAGGTTTGGTTCAAGTATAGAAAAATGCATAAGAATGATAAACCCCACATCTGGATAATGGGTTACCTGGGGTGGGGAGGAAGCGGAATTAGAAAGGGATGAAGGAAGCTTCGGCTCTATTCATAATTTATTTCTTCAGCTTAATGGTGGCTACATAAGTGTTTATTATTTTTTAATCTTAAATATTTAAAAATAATGTATAATTAATACTATTAAATAAGACCCGTCTTTTTATGTAAAAACTAATTTTGCATTTCTCTCATTAGTCTCTGTTAAATATTAAATCAGTACATTGATTGGGAATGACAGAATCAAGCAATCATTCATTCAACAAGTGTTTACTTGTTGAATGATAGGATGTTCAAAGAGCTAAGAACTTCATCCATACGCTGTAATACTTAGAACGCTTGTAACATTTATAATAACCTGTTTGGTTATTTGACTATGTTTTCTTTTTTCTGTGAGAGCAGAGTCTCTGTCTTATTCATATTTAAGAATTCTGCTCTGTAATAGGTGATAAATAAATGTTAATTTAAACCGAATGAAACATAAATATGACTATTATTGTCCTGAAAGGGCTTTCAATACACTAGGATAATGCAGGTCATAAGTGCCATAAATGAAGAGCAAAGTGAATTCACTTATGCATTCATTCGTTTGAAAACCATTTACTCGGCATCTGTTAGGTACTGAGCATATGACTATAAACAAGAGAAACACAGACTTTGGTTTTTACAGGGCCCACTTCTCACCACTTTCATCACTGTCTAACTGGCCTATGCTGCCAGCATCTTTTGTTTGGATGGTTGCAGTAATCCAATACTGAAATCCTGACTCATCTCCCTGCTTCCACTTTGCTCCCCTATCGTAAAATCTCAACTGTGTCCAGAGAGATCCTCTAAAAACCTAAGTCAGATCATGTCACTCCTCTGCTCTGACACCTCCAATGGCTTCTCATCTGTAGGAGATTGTAGAAATTGCCACAATTAGTTAAATTTTTCCTATCGAGAAGTGAAGTCTGTTTCTCAACTCATTGAGTCTGAACTGGCCTTGTGACTCTCCTCGGCCAATAGAATGTGGCAGGTTCTGAGTTCTGTGCTAGCTCTGAGCCTGGGTTCCATGGGGCTTCGAATGCTTCTGCTCCTACTCTTGGAATCCTGCCACTATCAAATAAACATGCTCCGACCAGCCTGTTGGTGGATGAGAGACCATGTGGAGGAGAAATGCCCAAGGCAAAGCCAGGCCAGACCAGTCAATTATCAGCCAACCTACCAGCTGTCTGAGGACACATGACCGAGCCTAGCCGAGATCAGCCTAGCCCAGCCTATCCCCAAAGAACCTTTCAGATGACCCACAGACTCATGAGCCAAATAAATGGCTTGAGTCATCGAAGTTTCTGGTAGTTTTTTGGGCAGCGAACACTGATAGACTATCTCATTTAGACAAAAAGTCAAGCTTCTTTTTACTAACTGTATCCTCAGTACTTAGTGCCTGGCACATGGTAGATGCACCATGAACGTTTGTTGAATATATTAATAAAGGTGTAAATGGTTTTAACATTCTATTGAGGG